>NC_000022.11:30376230-30527745 GCF_000001405.40 Homo sapiens
AAGACTGGCTTTTTTTTTTTTTTTGTAGCTGATCCCGCAGGACCGGCTCTGGTCCCCTTCCAGCAAGGGAACCCAGGGAGCAACACCACCAGTCCAGGCCAAGAGCACATCCCCAGGGTGAGTGAGGCTTTACTGGAGGTGGGGCAGGTGAGTGGAGTGTTCCCTGCATTCACAGGGGATCTTGGATCTGGTTTTCCTTCAGGCCTCTGGGCAGACAGCACCTTCCTAGCAGCAGGACGGGTAGGACCCTGCTGGGCCAGCCCTGCACATCCCCACCTCGGCAGCCCTGCACATCCCCACCTCGGCAGCCCTGCACATCCCCACCTCGGCAGCCCTGCACATCCCCATCTCGGCAGCCCTGCAGCCAGCCCAGCAAGTCCTTGCTGGAGGGTGTGACCCACTTGGACACCTGCACCCAGAACCCCATCAAGGTCTTGGTCAGGCTGAGAAAGAGACTGTCACCTGGCCGGGGACAGGCCAGCTCTGCACACCAGCCCCAGGAGCGGCCCATGTAGCCTGTGGCCCAGGGCTGAGGCTGGATGGGAGGTGGCTGGCAGCCCACCCACTGTAATAAAGCCCCAGCCATTGGCCCACAGCAATCTTTGCCTCACAGTATGACTGAGCCAAGGAAAGAACCCTTCCTTCCCTGTCCTGGGCAGGGGCCACTGAGTCCCCAGCCATGTAGTTCAGTCAGTCAGCAGAGTCCTGGCACTATGGGCCCTCAGTAAAAGGGGCCTTCCTGCTTCCCTCCCGACAGAGGCTGTGGGATAGGAGAGTACACCCAGGGCAGAGGAAGCTCCTAAGACCTGGGCCAGGTGAAGGTCCGTTTTTCTATCCCCAGAGCAAGGGTCGAGGGGTGAACCTTGGCTCAGTGGCCCGCACTGACTCAGGAAGGGGTCAGGTGGGAGTGGACAGAGGAAGGGCCGGTGAGGATGTCTGAAGCAGGCAGAGGGCAGCAACGCCTTCAGCCTCCCACCCTGGCTCTGGACCTGCGCTGGGCACATTAAGGACCCAAGAGGTCAGGCCTCCTTTCACTGAGGAACTCCTTGCCTTTAGGAAATGGTGACCGTCATGAAGGTTTCTCTAAATCCTGGAGATCATAGCCCCAGGAGGCCACTGAAGGCGGGGCAAGGCCTCCACCAAGCAGAGGACACCCTGCCAGCCCTGGCTTTCCCATCCCTGTCCCTTGGGGGTCTCTTCAGCCCAGGGTGCCATGCGGCCAAGCATCTGGGGCTCTGGTTTTCCTCATGAAGCCACCAGCCTACCCTGAGCCACCTCACCTGTGAAGGACAATCTCCAAAAACTTGCTGAGGCCTTCTCAGGGCGCACGCTCCCAAATGCCTGAAGCATTTTCCCTTGGTGAAGAGGCCGTCAGGTAGAGCACCTCAGTTCACAGAGAAGGGTCAAGAGGGGCCATGTATATAGCTGAGCTACCACAGCTTTGGTCAGCCCAACTTCCTGCTTCTGAGGGGCCTGGGAGTTCCTGAGGGAGGCTGGGGTGCCCCGGGCACCCCCCTCACAGGGGAGCACCATCCCTCAGCACCCTGAGCCAGAAGGCCTGTGCTCAAGTCCAGGGGAAGGACCTCACAGCTGAGTAGCTCTCTCAGGCGCCCACCAACTCCGTGCCATGTATTCATTAGCTCCCAGTTCTGGCAGTCAGAAGTCCAGGTTCTGTGTGGCTGGGTTTTTTTGCTCCGGGTCCCAGAGGGCTGAAATTGAGGCATCTACCAGGTTGCGTTCCTTTCTGCCGGTTCTGGGGAAGAATTGGCTTCCAAGCTCCACTTGTTGGCAGAATTCCGATCCTTGCGGCTGTGGGACTGAGGTCCCCATGTCCTCGCTGGCTGGCTGTAAGCCAGGTCCTCTCACGGCTCCTAGAGGCCGTCCACCTTCCTTGCCATGGGGCTCCCTCCATCTTCAAGTCAACAACAGAGGATTTCTCATGTGCTGAATCCCCCACATGCTTCAAATCCCTGACTTCCTCCTCTTCTACCAGCAGAAAACTACTTTGAATAGGCTCATGTGGTTAGGGCAAGGCTCACACTCAAATACTTTCCCTATCTTCAGGTCAGCTTGCTATAAGACAGAACCCAACCATGGGCATAAAATCCCTTTGAGAAGCCAGGCGCAGTGGCTCACGTCTGTAATCCCAGCACTTTGGGAGGCCGAGGCAGGCGGATCACCTGAGATCGGGAGTTCGAGACCAGCCTGACCAACATGGAGAAACCCCGTCTCTACTAAAAATACAAAATTAGCCGGGCGTGGTGGCGCATGTCTGTAATCCCAGCTACTTGGGAGGCTGAGACAGGAGAATTGCTTGAACCCGGGAGGCGGAGGTTGCAGTGAGGCGAGATCACGCCATTGCACTCCAGCCTGGGCAACAAGAGTGAAACTCCATCTCAAGAAATAAAAATAAAATAAATAAATAAAATCCCTCTGAGTCCCAGTTCCAGAAATTATATTAATGCAAGGCATGTTCACGGCAGGTGGTAGTGGGAGACCTTGGGGGCCATCTTAGAATTCCATCTACCACAGGCAGTAGAACCTAAGGTAACTTTTTAAAATCTTAAAACACCTATACACATTTTACATCTTATGTTAAAATATAGCCACGTTTATTTTACTATTAAACCTTCCCTACTCCAACTCTTTAAAAAAAAAAAAAAAAAAAAAAAAGGATGCCCCTGGATGAGGCACCACATTGATCCTGTGGCTTCGAGTATCCCGGTCAGCAACACAAAGCCGCAGCCAAGGATTCCAGAACAGGACGGTTTCTAAGACCTCTGGTCCTAGCCAGGCCCAGGAAGGGAGCCAGGCTGGACAGGCAGTGGGACCCATGGCTCCCAGTGCTTGAGGACCAAAGGCAACAGGCAGACAGCCTTGACAAGAAGTATCCTGAAAGACGGTCAGGCCAGGGTACCCCAAGGCCAGATAGCTCTTCCCTCAACCCACCCCCCAATAAATAAGCACAAAACCTGGCCACTGTAGTCTCAGCCCCCAGGAATTCCCAGACAGGCCACAGGGAGCTCCCAGAACCCTGGCGACAGCTACACTGGCCCCATATTCTCTTTCCTTATTGACCTGGGAGCTGCCTGTAAGGAGGGCAGACTCACGTCACAGGATTGCAGAGAAGGTCCCAAAGTGACCTCTCTTCCTTGACTGACAGGTCCCAGCCCTAGATCCTCAGTCTGAAGCTGTGGGGCCCTCCTTCCCAGTGTGGACATGGTGGGGCCCTCATCCTTCCTCCCACCCACTGGGCTTGCTGTCCTGTCTATCCTGCTGTCCCATCCTGTCCTGTCCTGGGAGCCCAGGCTGAGGACCGGGGTGCAGGCAGGAAGGGTCCATCCCCATGTGCAGAGTCCAGCTGGGCAGCTAATCATCGGAGTAGCGGTTCCCTGCAGGGGAGGGGAAGAAGAACAGGGAGAGAGGCATCAGGTGAGGAGCAGGCAGAGTAGGCCGAGGGACCCCACCCCTGGTGCTCACCCAGGACGTTGAATTTGCACAGTGGGCAGGTCTGCTGGAGCATCAGCCAGGGGTCCACACAGTCTCGGTGAAACTCGTGCTTACAGGGCAGCACCCGGAGCCACTACAGGGGTGGGGGAGGAAGGGCTCAGGTCACCGAAGCAGGACTCCACGTGGGGGTGCCTGGTCCCATGCCCCTCGCCTCAGCTGGGGAACTGAAACCTCACGGCTTCCCCCACCCCCCTGAAATTCTGCTCTGTGGCCCTGGGGGCTGAAGGAGAAGGGCCTGGTGGTGGTGGTTCCAAGGTCCCAGGAGTAAGGTGGGAGGCATCACAGGTGAGCTGATGGCTGGTCTCTACCCGGGGCACTAGCCTGTTTGTTGCAGAAGTAGTCCAGGCACACCGCACAGGTCTCAGCACCCGGATCTGGGAGGCCCTGCGCTGCCCTGCTCAGCCGGCAGCGCCGTGTCTTGAGGGATGCCAGTCTCCGCACCACGCGGCGCTTAAACAGGTCCACCTGTGGGGAGAGGACGGGCACAGTCTTGCAGGTCCAAGGGCTGAGGGTGCTGGGGCTCCCTGGGGCTGGCTCCCACCTGGCCTCCGAGCTCCCGCTGGCTCTGCCGCGACGCCTGCCGCTGGGCCTGGACCACGAGGCCTGTGCACAGGAGCATGGCCACCAGCAGGATGGCGTTCCACAGCTGCTGCAGGGGTTTCTGGGGAGGGAAGCAGTCATCAGGGACATGGGGCCACCCCCACACGCCTCCCTTAGGAACATCTACCCCCAGGAACGCCAGGGAGCAGGCAGGTGAGGTATGCTGACGGCCTCTGTGTCCCTGCAGTCCCCAGCTTCCTCTTCTGAAGGCTCCGTCTCTTCCATTGTGTGCTTCTCAGGATCACTCACTCTGCCCTACACGTCTTCCCATCCAGCTCCAAGGAGAGCCACATCCATTCCCAGCCCAGGGCTCTCTGGGCAACAAACCTGATGTTTTGCATACACAGAAGCTTCTATCTGGTAGCCTCAGAGACTCCCCAACCCAGCACCCAGCAACCCAGCACCCAGCCTGGGACCTGCTCACTCTCCCACCCCCATCCTCCTGCACTTCCTCCTGGTCGGCTTTCTCAGGCCCTGCCATCAGCCACTCACCCATCCAGCCTGAATGTTCGCACCCCCCTGTACGGGAGGGAGCCAGCCCCCAAGGCCTGTTGCTTCGTTCTCCTGGGTGGGGGTGGGTCTCATGCCCTCCTTGCCACCCACTTCCCACCCACGGTCAGAGGGTTCTCCCCTGCACACCAGGCCCTGCAGCTCCCCTGCCTGAGCTCCTTCCCTGCAGTGCCACTTGCCTCCTCTCAGTGTCTGTGCCTTTCCACACTGTTCCCTGTCTTGGGAACCCTCTTCCACCTTATCCCTTTCCTCGGCTACTGCCTCCACCACATCTTGCTCTAGAAGCTCCCTGACCTCTTATGGCTGGGTGAATGCGCCCCCCTAACCTCCCGCTGCCCCGCCCTCCTCACACCCGCTCTACCCAGCGTTCCCTTGCAGCTGCCCTTGGGGGTCTGTGCGCTCCCATCGGTGGGAGGTAACCATAGCTGATGTGGTCACCACTCTAACCCAGTACCTCCCACCATCTTTGTGGAATGAGTGAATTTGGAAAGGAAACATGACTGAGAGAACACTTTAAAGCCTGGGGGCCCCGGGCCCCTGGGCAGCCTCAGAGTGACTGAGGGAACCACAATGATCTTGACTCAACTTGCCCCAGATGCGGTGTGGCTGCTGCGCTCTGACTACTCAACAGCTGGCTCAGGAGATGGCGCAGCGGAGTAAGCAAAACACAGCACGCTCCCTCCAGGTGCGCCTCTGCACAGGGTCTGTGGATGTGTTAGGACTAACACGTGCATTCACTTCAAAGCTCTCTGCAGCTGAGTACTGCTCTGCCATCGTGTTCTTCCCCGACCGATGCTGAAGCTCATCTACCGTCATGTGGGGAAGAGGGGCTGAGAAATGATCTGATATGAAGAGGCCACCGCTCTAGACAAGCCTGGTGCTGCTAGTGCCACAAGCCATTGCTCTGCTCACAGTGGAGGTGCTCTGGGGGCCCTCACTGGGAAGTGTCTGTGAGCCCCAGCTCCCCTCTCCATCCTGCTCTCTTCTCTCCTCCAGCTGCAGCTGGGCAGTGCCACCTGTTCTAGGAAGCTGTCCCCAAGCTCCAGGCTGAGTGCCTTTATCATGCCCTAGAGGGTGCCGGGGCCACCACCAGCTCTGTGCTTACCCCAGCAGAGTGACAGCATGTCTCTGGCCTATCTGCTCTCCAGACTGGGCCCCCATGAGCCCAGGGCTGGAGCAGCCCACGTTGGCCAACACGTGCTGGGGGCTGTACACCAGGAGACCGGGGCATCACTGCCTGGCAGAGAAGTAACTCAAGAAATGCTTGGGGGCCAGCCGCGGTGGTTCATGCCTATAATCCCAGCACTTTGGGAGGCCGAGGTGGGCGGATCACCTGAGGTTGGGAGTTCGAGACTAGCCTGACCAACATGGAGAAACCCCGTCTCAACTAAAAATACAAAAAATTAGCCTGTGTGTGGTGGTGCATGCCTGTAGTCCCGCTTACTAGGGAGGCTGAGGTAGGAGAATCGCTTGAACCTGGGAGGCGGAGGCTGTGGTGAGCCGAGATTGCGCCATTGCACTCCAGCCTGGGCAACAAGAGCGAAACTCTGTCTCAAAAAAAAAAAAAAAAAGCTTGTGGACAGAATACCCTTGAATGCCCTTGATGCCAAGTGTTGGGTATTGGAAATCCAGAGATGATAAAACACAGCCCTGGCTGTCAGGAGACAAAGTGACACTCCCCTGAGCCCCATGCCAGGACTAAGTGGCCATTATGGCATAAGCTCTCCAGGGCAGAGCCTGCTGTAGAGCTCCATGCCTCAGAGCAGCCAGCTGGGTGGGCTGAAAGTGTGGCCGGCCTGAAGCTCCGCTGCAGGCCAAAGACCCAGCCTCCCCAGGCTCACTGCATCCTGGGGAGCCCTATGTGCCCCAGGTTCAGTGCATCTTGGGGAACACACCTTGCAGAGCCCCAGGTGAGGATGGAGGGCAGGATGGGAGCTTGCCATCAGAGCAGTAAGGACTGTTCATTAGCTGGGCATGGTGGTTCATCACGCCTGTAATCCCAGCACTTTGGGAGGCCGAGGTGGGCCGAATGCCTAAGCTCAGGAGTTCGAGACCAGCCTGGGCAACATAGTGAAACCCCATCTCTACAAAAAATACAAAAATTAGCTAGACATGGTGGCACGTGCCTGTAGTCCCAGCTACTTGGGGGACTGAGGTGGCAGGGTCACTTGAGCCCAGGAGGTCGAGGCTGCAGTGAGCCAAGATCGTGCCACTGCTGTTCATCAGACCTTCCTGATACATGAGTGTTGCTGCTCTGGACTCCCAGAGGCTGGAGGCACAGTGACTGGGCCCTGGGGTCAGGACTGAGAGCCCGATGCCCATCAGGCCAGCCACTGAGATGCCTCCTCCAGCCACCCTTCAGACACTTTAGTGGCCATGGCCACCCAATACTTGGGTTGGGACCACCTTGACCCCAGCCTGCAGCCTGGCCAAGGCTGCTCAGGTCTGCCCTCTTGAGCAGCCAGACCCACCTGCAGACTGCGCTCAGCCCCACCCCAAGCCTCTCACCAATGCCTGCCCTGTCCAGAGGCCTGTGTGGGCCACCCATGACAGGGATACACAGAGTACCGTCCCTGTTTGCAAATGAGGAACATGAGGCCAGAGAGGTGAAACTCCCAGCTGAGACCAGCCAGCTAAGGTTTCCAAGCCAGGATTTGATCCCAAGATTGCCCCACTTGAAGCTGCCCTGCACAGCCCACGGTGGCCAACACCTGCTGGAGGCTGTACACCAGGAGACCGGGACGTGACTGCCCAGCAGAGTAGGGACTCAAGAAATGCTTGTGGACAGAATACCCTTGAATGCCCTGATGCCAAGCGCTGGAAATCCAGAGACGATAAAACACAGTCCTGGCTGTCAGGAGACAAAGTGACGCGCCTCATCACATGCAGGATGGGCTGTCCCAAGAAGCCCATGGACGGCCTGACCACGCCTTGTTGTGATACAAAAGAGAGAGAGAGGGAGGGGACTTCAAGCTGGGGTGGGAGGGAGGCTTTCCAAAGAAACGTGGCAGGATGAGTTGTGAAGGTTCTAGCTAGACTAGGACGTGTGGACACAGAAAAGGTGTCCACGTCTACAGCCAGGTGTAGACAAGGCCCAGTGGCAGAAGGCCTGGGCATATGCAGTCATTGGTACAGGGTGGCCAGAGCATAGGAAAAAGGACTAGAAAAATAGAGTGAGTGAGTGATGCAGAGAGCTGGGAAAGCCACGCAGAGGGGTCTGAATTTTACAGGCAGTGGAATAAGGCTTCCCAATGCCTGCAGAACATGAGGACGGCAGCTAACACTGACTACATGTGACCTGGCCCAGGCGCCCCAACTGAGCGCCCACCTACACCATGTCTCTGAACACTCACAGCACTCCTGTGGGGTGGGAAAGGCCGTCCTTGTCACTAAGGTGGGGAGAAGCCACAGGATTTTCAATACAAAGCCATGTATATGGCCCCACGAGCCTCCTTTCCCTAGGCCCCATGTAATCTGCTAGCACCCACCTGCTCCTGGGCACGACTGCCTCCAAGGCAGACCAAGTCCTGCCATCCTCCATAGCCATCCTTGGAGAGGCCACAGGTGGTCCACAAGGTCAACTTCCACTCGATATTGGCAGACAGGGACTCTCCGCTGGTGATCTCAGCCGTGGCCTGGGTCCTCCTGGGAGGGGAAGTCACCGGGGCCAGATGGAAGGACTCTTGGGAAGGGAGGCCCAGACCCACCCACCCCAGCTCTGCAGGAAAAGGATACCTACGACTGTCGCCCCTGCTGGCCTTACACTTTGCCCCAGGCCTTTTCCCTCTATTGGTTTTTCCAATTTTCACACCAGCCAGGCCAGGGAAGCCTGCAAGTCCATCTTCCTCCTTGCTGGGGCCAGTCCTCTCTGCCCACAGAGCCACTTCCTTGCTCCAAGCTCCAGGCTCTGGCACCTCCTTCCCATCCCCTCACCCATTTTTCAGCCTGGGACAGGACAGTCTTTCTTTTTTTTTTTTTTGAGACAGGGTCTCCCTTTGTCACCCAGACTGGAGTGCAGTGGCACAGTCACAGCTCACTGCAGCCTCTACCCCCGGGGCTCAAGTGATCTTCCCACTTCAGCCTCCTGATTAGCTGGGACTACAGGCATGTGCCACCATGCCCAGCTAATTTTTGTATTTTTTTGTAGAGACTGAGTCTTGCCATGTTGCCCAGGCTGGTCTCAAACTCCTGGACTCAAGTGATACTCCTTCTTTGGCTTACCAAAGTGCTGGGATTACAGGCATGAGCCACCATTCCCAGCCGAGAGGGCAGTCTTAAAGCTAACAGTTGGCTGGGTACGGTGGCTCACACCTGTAATCCCAGCACTTTGGGAGGCCGAGACGAGTAGATCACAAGGTCAGCAGATCGAGACCATCCTGGCTAACATGGTGAAACCCCGTCTCTACTAAAAATACAAAAAAATTAGCCGGGCATGGTGGTGGGCACCTGTAGTCCCAGCTACTTGGGAGGCTGAGGTGGGAGAATGGCATGAACCCGGGAGGCAGAGCTTGCAGAGAGCCGAGATCGCGCCACTGCACTCCAGCCTGGGTGACAGAGCGAAACTCCATCTCAAAAAAAAAAAAAAAAAAAAGTTAACAGTTAGGCCGGGCCCTGCCAGGCCCAGCCACAGTGGCAGCAGGGGCAGCAGCAGCAGCAGTGGCAACGGGGGCTCCTGCCTGTAATCCCAGCACTTTGGGAGGCCGAGGCAGGTGGAACTGAGGTCAGGTGTTCAAGACCAGCCTGGCCAACATGGTGAAACCCTGTCTCTACTAAAAATACAAAAAATTAGCTGGGTGTGGTGGCACATGACTGTGATCCTAGCTACTTGGGAGACTGAGGCAGGAGAATCACTTGAACCTGGAAGGCAGAGGTTCCAGTGAGCCGAGATTGCGCCACTGCACTCCAGCCTGGGCAACACGAGTGATACTCCATCTCAAAAAAAAAAAAAAAGGCTAACAGGTAAGGCCCTGGTCCCAAGCCCCCTCAGTCCATGGGAGAACCAGGGGCTCTCTGTACCCAGGGTCAGTCCTTTGAAGTCTAAATACCAACTCACTGCAGCAATGCATCCAACAGCTTGGTGACATTGGAGGAATAATGGAGGACGATCACTGGCCTGAGCAGAAGCTGGGATATGTCCAGCTGCAGGGAGACAAGGAGGTCAGCAGGCCTGGGTCCCCCTTTCCCCAGCTTGCTTACCCTCACGGCCTGGTCCGATTTACCTCTCGGACCACGTTGTGGTTCAGGATGAGAAGAAGCAGGGCAGAGGCACCCAGGAAGAGGGCCCGCCGCATCTGCAGAGGGATAGAAGGCGAGAGGCTAGCATATACCCTGCCTGCACACCTGTCTCACCACCTGCAGCCCTAGCTGCTCTTAGCTCCTGGCCCTGCAGTGAGCAAAACTCTGGACAGACTGCCATAAGCTCCTTGAGGTCAAAGGTGGAAACTGCTTTCTTCCTCCTGCCTCCCTTCCAGATGCGCTGTGCCTTCCCCGGTCCTATCAGGGCAGTCCCAGCAGTGGTCGTCAGCAGCAGCTCCCCCATCCCATACTCTCAGAGCCTGGTCAAGCTTCTCAACCTCTCTCTGGCCTCCTCTCACCTCCCTGCTTCGAAGCCATACTGACTCCATTCTTCAAACTGGGGTGCCCTGACCCACCAGGCCTAGGGCTTCTCTGCAAGCTCTTAAGGGCCCATCTAAGGAGGGCCTGGCTCTAGCAGATGCCTTGGAATCCTTTCCTCCAGCCCCCTCCCCCATAGACATCCCCTGCACCTGCTGGACCAGGGCCTTGGGATAGGCCTGCGGGCCACTGCCCTTATTCTCCTGGTGGAACTGGGCCGCCTGCTCCTTGCCCACGTATGCCACTGCAATCCAGCCTTCCACTGGTGCCTCCTGCTCGGCATCCACGATGTCCATCTGTGTGGCAAGGGGCCATGAGCAGAGGGAGGTAGGGTGTGGTGGGGGAGGGAGCCGGGGTCATCACAGTGGATGCCAAGGCCAGAGTTCCCAGAGCATCTGGCTCTCTGGTTTGGGAAGCCGGAATGCTGGGGGCCTGGGGAGCCTGGGGAGGGGCGCTGGACTCTCAAGGCTTGGTGGAGGATGAACGTCGGTTCAGGGTGCGGGGTCTCTAGGGAGGGTTGAGAGAGGGGTTTAGTGATGCGGCCAGATGGCTCAGCAGCGCTCACCAGCAGCAGACGACCGCCCAGCAGGGGCGCCGGGTCGGCTTCGGAGCCGATCCTGACGCCCTCCAGGACCAGAGCGTCCTGGCGCGGCAGTCTCACGTCCACCCGCACGGCGCGGGCTCCGCCCCGCCCCGCCCCGGCCGCCGGCTCGCTGCCGTCCGCCGCGGCCCCGGGCCCCGCCAGGCCCAGCCACAGCGGCAGCAGGGGCAGCAGCAGCAGCAGCGGAGACGGAGGCGGCGGCGGAGGCGGCGGCGGCGATCTCAGCGCGGGGCGAGCGGCGGGGCCCATGGCCGGACCCGGCGAGCTGGCCCAACAGTGGGGCCAGGGGTCCCGGGCGCGGGGGGGATCGGAGGGAGCGAGGCCGCTGCCGGACGGGGCGGGGCGCCGGGAGGGGCGGGGCCGCGGCCGGACGGGGCGGGGCACCAGGAGGAACGGAGTGGGCGCTTGGCGGCTCTCGCGCCCAGACTGGGCCGCGGGCGCCCCCTGGTGGCCGCGGAGAGCTCAGGTGCCCGCGGCTGAGGGAGCTGGAGAGGGGCAAAACCGGGGTCGCAGCGGGAAGGCGGAAAGTCAGAGAGAGGAGGTGCTTCGGCAGCGGACGCGTCAGCGGGGCAGACAGGAAAATAGTTGGAAAGGGCGACCTGGGGGAGCAGAGACACGATCAGAGCCTGAGAAGGGCAGGAGCAAGGGATGTCTAAGGGGCCTGGTGGCAGGCCCTTGTTCTGCGGCAGCCCCGTGGACCCACGGGGTGGCCAGGGCCAAGTCACATCCCTCTCTTCCCCGGTCCTCCCTGTCTCGACCCCACTAAACAGCAGGAGGCAGAGAACCAGAGACTGGCGTGGGAAGCCGACAGGGGAGATAGAGGGGCAGGGGAAAGGGGCTGGGGGGCAAGGCAAAACGAAGCAGGCAGGGACTCAGTGCCTCAGTGGGACCGAGAGGCTGGGTCACTTCCCTCATCTGTGAAATGGGCACCATAGGCCGGGCGCGGTGGCTCACGCCTGTAATCCCAGCACTTTGGGAGGCCGAGGCGGGCGGATCACCTGAGGTCGGGAGTTCGAGACCCGCCTGACCAACATGGAGAAACCCCGTCTCTACTAAAAATACAAAATTAGCCGGGCGTGGTGGCGCATGCCTGTAATTCCAGCTACTCAGGAGGCTGAGGCAGGAGAATCGCTTGAACCCGGGAGGCGGAGGTTGCGGCGAGCCGAGATCGCGCCATTGGAATCCAGCCTGGGCGACAAGAGTGAAACTCCGTCTCTAAATAAATAAATAAATAAATAAGCACCATGTACAATCAACACTGCCTCACCCCCAGCAAATAACTCAAATGTCTACTGGAATGTGGAAGTTCCACTACTGTTCTAAAACTTGTCCGTTTCTCCAAGGGTTGGGGCTGCTGGGAGCTGGCTCAGTCTGAAACCTGAGCCTTTAAAAATTGTATGGTGGGCAGGGCGCGGTGGGTCACGCCTGTAATCCCAGCACTTTGGGAGGCTGAGGCAGGCGGATCATGAGGTTAGCAGATCGAAACCATCGTGGCTAACAAGGTGAAACCCCGTCTCTACTAAAAATGCAAAAAAATAGCCGGGCATGTTGGGAGGCGCCTGTAGTCCCAGCTACTCGGGAGGCTGAGGCAGCAGAATGGCGTGAACCCGGGAGGCGGAGCTTGCAGTGACCTGAGATGGTGCCACTGCACTCCAACCTGGGCCAGATGAGCCACAACACTCTTTTTTCTCCAGAAAAATTGAAAGAATTTTACAGTGAACACCTGTAGGAACACTGATATGGGATGACCAAGTTGCTCCTGAAGAAGTGTGAGACGGGTATATAAGACAGCCCCCGATATCAGCCTAAAGACAGACAAATGGAACATGAAATAGGCCAGAAACTGACCCACACATCTAAAGATGGTGTACATCAGAGGAAACATTGTGTTTGTGGAGATACAAGGAGGCAGTAGCATGGACTGTTTGGTAAATTGTGCTAAGAAATTGAATTAACCATTAGGAGAAGAAATTAGACCCCTATTACATACACATCATATACAAAATATGAATTCCATATAGATTAAAGACCTAAATAAGAAAAGTAAAAGTTTAAGCATTAAAAAATTATTTATGCATTTATTTTTGAGACAGGGTCTCTCTCTGTTGCCCAGGCTGGAATGCAATGGTGCCTTCTCAGCTCATTGCAACCTCCAGGGTCAACTGATTCTCCCACCTCAGCCTCCAAAGTAGCTGAGACCACAGGGGTGTGTCACCATGCCCAGCTAATTTTTTTTTTTTTTTTTTTTTTTTTTGTAGAGACAGGGTTTCACCATGTTGCCCACGCTGGTCTTGAACTCCTGGGCTCAAGGGAACTGCCTGCCTCAGCCTCCCAAAGTGCTGGGCTTACAGGCAATAGCCACTGCACGTAGCTAGATTCTCTGTTCTGTTCCATTGGTCTATAGTAGTCTCCCCTTACCTGAGGTTTTAGTTACCTTCAGCCAACCGAGGTCCAAAAAAATATTAAATGGAAAATTCCAGAAATAAACAGTTCATAAGTTTTAAATTGCATGCTGTTCTGAGTAGCATGATGAAATCTCTTGCCCTTCCTCTCCATCCCTCCCTGGATATGAATCCTCCCCACGCTGTAAATGTTACCACCTGTTAGTCACTTAGTAGGCCTCAGAGTTATCAGATTGAAGAAACACAGTATGTTTTCAGCACTACCTGAGGTTTCCGGCATCCACTGAGGATCTTGGAATGTATCGCCCAAGGATAAAGGATCACTAATTGGATATGTTACTAACGTTTTTTCATATGTGGGAAAGCACTCTTCATAAGCTACAAAATGCACTGTGGAAGCCCCGTGGTGCCCGTGAAGAGGCTTGCTTCTCCATTTCTGTGACTGTCCCAGCCCATCTGTCAGCCCCAACAACAGGGTTGCAAGGATGCACCCTGTAATCAGCCAGGTCTTTGGCTCCATGTTCTGCCTGCCCTGTCCCCACTTTCTCCCTACCCTTCACCCCACTGACCTAGTCACCCCTCAACATACACACTCCAACCAGATGCAGGTCCTTGTTCACGCTTGTCCCCCACCTAGAACACAGTTCTGCTTCCCTACAAATATCCACATCCTAGCCTTCCATCAGTGGGAGCCGGAGCCCCCTTGCAAACTTGGTGGGTAACCAGTTCCCTGTGGTGTGTTCTTCCATGGGGTAACCCCTGGTTATCGCAGAAGGAACAAGAGCTGGAGGATGTTACCTCAACGTGGGTGGGTGTAGCTCAGCCCAGCCAGGGGCCTTCTGCTGCTTTGGGGTGAGGAGGGTTAGGGGGTGGGTAAAGAAACAGTAAAGATTGGAGCCAATGCTGGCGGGGGGCAGAGTGCAGTGTAAGCCCAGGAAGTGAGGCAGCCAAGGGTGGGAGATTGACTGCAAGGAGACGAGTGACCTTGAGGCCCTGCCTGGGAGTGGAGTATCTGAGGAGAAGGGGACTGGAGGACCCCAGAAGCGGGGGAAGGGATGCCAGCTAAGAGACATGCAGGCACCCTGCTCCCAGGGATGGACAACAGGACCCTCAGCCCTGTGGGCTCTCTCTGGAGTAGCCCAACCCGCAGATCCAAACTCCCAAGAGAGGGTGGGGAGCTAGAGCGGACAGGACTGTCACTCTCTCACCATGGGCCTCTGGGCAAGCCACTTCCGTTTTCTTGGCCTGTGTCCTCAGTTGTAAAATGGGAGCTTGGACTAAATGACTTGGGAGGGCCTTTCATCAGACATGCTGTGATTCCAAGTAGCTTGTTTCTTGGGATACAAGGTTTCCTGGCCCTGGGCTGGGCAGAGACCTGCATGGAGAAGGCCCCAATTCCTCTGTCTCTCCTTATTCTGTAAAGTTGCAGGGGGACCTAGGAAGAAACAAAGCTACTAATGAAAGTGTGAGGCATGGAATATGTTACCTCAGCAGTGGAAGGGGGTGGTGATGAGGATGAAATGTTTTAGAATTGGTACCAGGAATGGGGTGTATGACAAGGCCCTTGAATTCCGTGAACCTGAGCCCTCTGCTTCTCTTCCTTTGCTGTGAAATGAGTTATTTGGTCACACACCAGGCTGTGCAAATGCCAAAAAAAAGGCATTCCGTGAGTACACAGATGGTGGTGCTGGCAGAAGGATGAAGGGCAGGGAAGGCAAATCCACATCTAGAATATGTGTCTATTCCAGTGAGCATGAACCTGGGCCCCACCTATGAGGAAGAGGCCAATGTAATCAAGCTGCCACCAGGTGGCAGGCTGGTCCCTGGGGAATGTGGCCACATGGGGCCCAGTGACTTTGTTTTGTACAAAAAGGGCCTTGAAGCAGACAATGCCTAACTCATGGAAATGTGTCACCATCAGTGGGGGCTTCTGGCCCAGTGGCCACAGGGACGGCTAGGCCTGAGGTGGTGGTATTTTTAGAACATGGAGGTCCCTAAGATTCCTTTACCTTATGGACATGAGGCCCAGCACATAAAACAAGTTGTCTTAGAAGATCTTAAAGTGTCCCTTGATTGCCTAGTTCCATCTGCCACCTCCCTCCACTCACCCAGATGCTCAGAGGGTCGATGACTCACTCAAGATCACACAGGGCAGATGCAAAGTAGCCGCAGCTTAACTGTGGCATGGGCTGTAAAGTAGAGGGGGTCCTGCTCCTTCCTTGGGTCCAGCTCTCAGGGACAGGGTGAGCGTCATGCCCACAAATGGATATCAAAGGACTTCTCGGTGCTAGGCACTGGGCATGGAGCAGTGACCGTGACCAGCAATGGCTTCTGCCCTTGAGAACAGAGAGAAAACCATAACCACATACACAAGCAAGATCATTTCAGGCCACGGTAGGTGCCACAGGAATGAGATAAAATAGCCTCAGAGAGGGGCTGGGGGCCAGAGGCCACTTCAACCTCATTACCAGGGAAGGGAGACCTCTCTAAGAGGTGGTGTGTGGGCTGGCACCTGAATGGCAAGAATATTCAAGAGAAGAAACAGAGAATGCAAGTGAAAACAGCTGATACCAGCTGGGTACAGTGGGTCATGCCTGCAATCCCAGCAGTTTGGGAGGCCACAGTGGGAGGATCAGTTGAGGCCAAGAGTTCAAGACCAGCCTGGGCAACATAGTGAGACCCCCATCTCTACAAAAAGAAACCCACAAAAAATTTAAAAAAACAGCCAATAGCTTTACAGTGTTCCAGGTACTCTTCAACGTTTTTTTCATGAATTCGCTCATTTAATCTCATTCCAATCACATGAGGTAGTAAGATTATCACTGCCATTTTACAGATGAGAAATTGAGGCAGAGGTCAAGTAACTTTGCTAGGTTATAGAACCCGGACCCAAACCTAGGTAGTCTGGTTCCAGAGTTGGTGGGCCCACTCCTATGCCATTCTGCTCTGAGAGGTCACTGGTGTGGGAACAAGCTTGCCTACCGAATCTGGACTCTATTTTAGCTCTATTTGGGGTGGAAATGGCAACCCATCCTTCCCAAGCGAAGTCCCCAGGCTCCTGCCAGCTAGTGCCAGAGCCATAGCAGGGGCCCCAGCACCCCTCCGGCCCTCCCCTCCCCTCTGGGGGACTCCTGAGGTCCCAGCTCCCTGCCCCCAGCCTCTGTGCTCACAGCTATCTGGGCCACCTCATTCTAAAGGGATTTGGCTCTTGGAGACAACTGGAGACTGGTGAGAAAGGGCTTAGGGATTAGACAGTGATACCCAGGAAGGTAAGGGACTTAATCAGGGGTTCGAGTGTGGGAAGTGGGGTGGGGAGAGGATTTTGTTTCTTTGCAAAGCCAGGCTGGACTGCAGAAGTGAGGAGGAAGTGGGGCTCGGGGGAGGAGCCAGACAGGCTTAGTTTCTCACTCTCTGTTGTGCCTTCAGAAGCAACATGATAGAATAATAATCCCTCACCTGTGTGCGCCCACCACTTCCCCAGCCATTATTTCACTTGGAATTCTCACAGTGGCGGGATTAGTTCTCTCCCCAGATCACAGACACCCAGAGGAGGCAGGTGACTTGAGGCAGCTGCAAGCCCCACAGGGCTGGGCTGGGAGGAGGGGAGGAGGTTGGGGCCAGGGCTTTTCTGCATGGCTGCCCGCAGGCACAAGGGTTTTCCAGAGAGTTCGCGCTGCCCTGGCCCCGTGGAAGTAGAGTGTTCCACAAATATTTGTGAAGAGTTTAAAAGACTGTTCTTTCCAACTCTCAAATCACAATGCCAATCTCTGTGCCACCCCCTTCCCCCTGGCACCACAGATTCTGAGGCCAGGGCACGCAGGAGGCCTCTGATCTCAAGGCCAGTGCCCTCATTTTAGTGAGGAAACAACCAAGGTCTAGAGGGCACGGCCAGCAGCCCTGAGGAGACCCCCAAATATGCGTCTTGTGGAATAGTCACGGCAGCACATTAAGCAAGAACATGGTCTCCAGCCCACACACCAGACTCCCGGTCCAGTGCTCCTTCCTGTGCCCAGAGCTGCCCCCCAGAAGAATCTGAAGCACAGGGCTCTGTCAACGCTAGGACTGCCATCCCAACGCTTCTAGATCTCTGCGTGCCACCAGCCTTCTTTAAGTTGTTCACACTCTATGTTCCCCTAAGCAAAGTCCCCAGCAAGATATACCCAGAGCAACACACCCATCACAGAAGGTTCTCCCCTCCAGCCTGCCTGACCCAGGAGGCCTGGTTCTTCCTGTTGGGCCATGCTATTCCCTGAGAGTTGCCACTACAATGCAAAATAGTCCACATCAAGGCCAGGAAAGGGGACTTCTGGTTGGCAGAGGTCGTGTTGCATTGGGTAGCTCAGGGAGAAGCTCCTGGAAACAGTATTTGATCAGAGTCTTGAGGGCTGGGGAAGACCTGGCAGGAGGATACAGGACACAGCAGCAGCTCTCACAGAGGCAGGAGGGCAGAGGTGTGTCTAAGGGACAGTGGGAAGCTTCTCAGATTGAAATGAAGTGTGTGGAGAGGGCAAGTGGCCGTTGGTGCCACAAGGAATGCTGGGCTGGGGTGGGGGTAGGCCTCAAATGCAGATCAGTGGGATTGAGTCAACTCAGGAAGGAACCGGGGAGCCATTGAAGATTCTTGAGCAGGGGTGCAACATACCTAGCAGGGAGGAAGAACTGTAGGGCAGGGATTAGGGGATGGAGAAAAAGTGGGGATGGGAAGGAGGGACTCTCTCTTGTTAGCCAGCTCCAGGACTTCACCAGATTATTTATTTATGTGTTTTTGTTTGTTTGCTTGTTTTTTTTTTTTTTTTTTTTTAGACCGAGTTTCTCTCCTGTTGCCCAGGCTGGACTGCAGTGACGTGATCTCGGCTCACTGCAACCTCTGCCTCCTGGGTTCAAGCGATTCTCCTGCCTCACCCTCCCAAGTAGCTGGGTTTACAGGCGCCCGCCACCATGCCCGGCTAATTTTTGTATTTTTAGTTTCACCATGTTGGCCAGGCTGGTCTCAAACTCCTGAACTCAGGTAATCCACCCGCCTCAGCCTCCCAAAGTGCTGGGATTACAGGCGTGAGCCACTGTGCCTGGCTAGGTTTTTTTTTTTTTTTTTTTTTTTTTTGAGACAGAGCCTTGCTTTGTCGCCCAGGCTGGAATGCAATGGTGCCATCTTGGGTCACTGCAGCCTCCACCTCCTGGGTTCAAGCGATTCTCCTGCCTCAGGCTCCCAAGTAGCTGGGACTACAGGTGTGTGCCACCATGCCTGGCTAATTTTTTTTTTTTTGGTATGTTTAGTAGATACGAGGTTCACCATGTTGGCCAGGCTGGTCTTGAACTCCTGACCTCAGGTGATTCACCCACTTCAGCCTCCCGAAGTGCTGGGATTACGGGTGTGAGCAACCGAGCCTGGGCCTATTTAGGATTTATATGATCAAATTAACTAGCTGTTTTATGGTGGGCCAGAAGTAGGTTAAGTCTCAGTGGAGGAAGAAGAAAGAGGCAGCTGTTGAACCTGGGAAGGGCAGGCCTGGGGAAGGGTTCTTTACCGAGGCTTTTATTTGGGTAACTTCAGATGCGGGGAGGGCTGTATCCTGCTGGGTGAAGGTGATCTTGTACTTTCGTGGGTAACTTTCGCAGGCAGTTCCCAGGCCCGTCCACACCTTGGCCTGGGAGCATACGGCCTAGAAACCACAAACTTGGGTTTAAGTCCCAACTCTGCACGTGCCCACCTATGACCACCTCTCCCTCAGGCTCCTCAATAAGTCACCTGACCTGCCTACCTTAGAGGATTGTCCCACACTTAAGTGACAAGCTAGATCTGAAGGTACCTTGTGAGCTCTAAGTTGCTGAACCAATATAAGAGGCTGTGCTTCTTGTTTTTATTTTTTGTTTGTTTGTTTTTTTTTTTTAGAGGGAGTCTTGCTCTGTCGCCCCAGACTGGAGTACAATGGTGTGATCTCAGCTCGCTGCATCCTCTGCCTCCCAGGTTCAAGCAATTCTCCCACCTCAGCCTCCTGAGTAGCTGGGACTACAGATGCACACCACCACGCCTAGCTAATGTTTGTATTTTTAGTAGAGACGGGGTTTCACCATGTTGGCCAGGCTAGTCTCAAACTCCTGACCTCAGGTGATCTGCCTGCCTTGGCCTCCCAAAGTGCTGGGATTATAGGTGTGAGCCACCGCGCCCGGCCAAGATGCTGTTCTTCTATAATAGTTTCCTTTGAGTAGGCTCTAGCCTGGAAAGAATATCCTGGCCCTGGAAGGGTCTTATATAAAGATCTTAGCCATGTATCCAGTAAGGAAGGCAGCCCTGTCCTGCCCCAGGCCAGAAGCCAGCGAGCCTAACTAGGGCAGAACTGCCTGAAAACTCTCTGTAGAGGTGGGCGTTGGGGGCCTCAACCCTCACTCTGCACCCTGCAGCAGGCGTCTATGGAGGGGGCCACACCAAGGGCAGAGCAAAGTCCTTAAATGTCTTTAACAGGCCTGGTGCCTTTGCCTCCAGGTAAGGAGAGAGACTGGGGACATTCTGCTTTGTCTCTCCCAGAGACTTGAGTGTTGAGGGGGCAGAAGTATGGCTCTGGGAGACGAGATGCCCACAGACTCCTGGACCTAGCTCTGCATTAATTCCAGGCCATAAGGGGAGGGCACAGCTGAGCACTTTCCATGTGCCAGGCAGTGGGCACTCCACATATGTCATGCCACTAACAACTTTGGGCAAGCCATGCCTTATCTGGGCCTCAGTTTCCCTAGCTGTTAAACGAGGTAAGTTGCATGATCCCTGAATGATCTATGTTTCTCTCTCCCTCTCAGGGTTCTGCCAGCCCCGGGATCTGTGTCTCTATTGGAGCAGTTCTTACATTCATTCATTCATTCAGGATACATTTATTAATAATCCCTGTAGGCTGGGCACCGTGGCTCACATTTGTAATCCTAGCACTTTGAGAGGCCGAGGCGGATCACTTGAGGTCAGGAGTTCGACACCCGCCTGGCCAACATGGTGAAACCCCATCTGTACTAAAAATACAAAAATTAGCTTGGCATGGTGGCGTGCACCTGTAATCCCAGCTACTCGGGAGGCCGAGGCAGGAGAATAGCTTGAACCCGGGAGGCGAAGGTTGCAGTGAGCCGAGGTCGTGACACTGCACTCCAGCCTGGGTGACAGAGCGAGTCTCCGTTTCAAAAAAAAAACAATGCAAAAACAATCCCTGTGTGCAGGATGCTGTGCTGTCCTGCACTATGCGAGCCTGGTTAGAAGAGCTCATTAGATAGCACCTTTCAATCCCTCCTTGTTCAGAGGCCCAGAGAGCTCAGGTGTCTCTTCCAAGGTCACACAATGAGGTAAGGATAAATTTGGAACTAAAACTGAGACTCCCTGCCCTTCTGATGCCCACTGGCCTCAGTCCCAGTGGGCACACTTGCTCGCCTCCTGCCTGGGTCTCTGACTTCAGGAGGGCGGAGGGGGCCCGTGTCAGAGCCTTCCGCGCCCCAGCGCATCGCTCCCTACTCCGCCTCTCGGGATCCTTTAAGAGGCGGGGCTTGGCTGCCAGCTCCGCGGCCCGGGCAAAAGGCTGGGACTTTACTCCGGGTGGCGGCGAGGACGAGTCTGTGCTCCATCAGCTGCCGCACCCGCCGCCTCCCGCCCCCAAACCCCATCCCCGCGGTTGAGCCACGATGAGCGGCAGAGTCGGCGATCTGAGCCCCAGGCAGAAGGAGGCATTGGCCAAGGTGAGCTGTAGCCCTGGCCCGGGCTCCCGCCTCGGGCTGTGGCCCTCGCCCTCCTGCGGCAGCGAGAAGGGACGGGGCTGGGTGGGGGCCGAGGGTCCGTGGCGGGCGGCGGAGGGAACAGAGGCGGCTGTCCCAGCCTGGCCCGCGCCCGCGGATGGCTCCTTCCTCCCTTTGCCACCCTCGAGGTCCCAGGAAGTTTGGCCACCCCCCGCCCAAGCTCTGAGCAGCCGTGGCGGTGCCACCTGGGGACAAGTGGTTGCTTGTGAGTCCCCGGAGGCCGCTGAGGGCACAAAGGCAACATTCATCCTCGGGACTGGCAGCCGGGCCCTGGGGCAGGGGCAGGGGCAGGGGCCCAAGTTTCCTCCCATTTCCGGGAGGCTTTCTTCTTGTAGGGTCAGTGGCACGATGGAAAGGGCTCTGGATAGCTCCTTGGGAGACTTGGATAGCTCCTGCCCCGGCACCAAGCCGCTGTGCGACCTTGGGCAAAACCCTGCCCTTCTCTTTGCTCCTCGATGCCATGGAATGAGGAGGTTGGACCAGATGATGTTGAAGGGAACACCTCCGTGTGTGAATTCCAGGCTCCCCCCATGAGGCACTGGGTTGGTGTTAGTTTGAGCTGAGACCAGCCGTCCCCTATCTTGCATCCCAGACCCCTGCCTGGTTCAGGACTTAAGGTTTATGCTCCTCAGAAGGCAAGAAGGTGAGCCTGGCTTTGCCTTGGCATCTGTGACAAGGAGGGGGCAACAGTTTGAGGGCGGGACCTTCCTCTTCACGAACTAAATCTCTTATCTGTCACCCCTGGGGAGTGAGGAGGTCGGCTCTTCTCTGGGCAAGAGCCGATAGGGTCTGGCCCCAAGATTTGGAGGCTCCACAGCTGGGGAGTTTTCCATGGCTGGGAAAGGTGGGGCGGGGGGCAGATGTATCCTGCCACTGGCAGCAGTGGG
Source organism: Homo sapiens (assembly GCF_000001405.40). Lineage (NCBI taxonomy): Eukaryota > Metazoa > Chordata > Mammalia > Primates > Hominidae > Homo > Homo sapiens. The sequence continues at coordinate 30,398,115 of NC_000022.11, forward strand.
GAGGCACCAGCTCCATAAAGCCTCTGTCCCAGGCTGGGCCTCCCCCATCCCAGGAAGGCTGGACAGGGAGGCTTCAGATTTTACTGCTGACTCGCAGGAGAGGTCAGGCAGAGAAGGGATTAGGTGGTGATTAAACTGGAGACCAGGGGCTGGTTAGGGTCCTTGGAGAGGGGTAGCTTCATGCCTGCAGTTTGGAGGAGCAGTTTCCCTGGTGCACTGGGAGCTGCTTTGTGGGGTGGGATGGTCTGAGTCCCTGGCTGACCTAGGCAAGGGGCAGAGGTGGCCAGTCCTCATTAGTGTCCTCTGGGACTGCCCTCTAGGTCAGTGGTCAGGGAAAGGTGAATGGCTGGGAGCAGGAGGCTCAGGGAGGGCATATAGGGGCCTGTTCGCCTACCAGGGAGTGAGAGGTTGGAGGTAGGTGTGGCTGTCCATTGAGGTCACTGTCCACCTCCTTTGTTTGGCACTACCTGCACTTTCCCGCTTCCTGGCTTCCCCTACTGGAACTGTTCCCTCCACCTGAGTTGCCCACCTCTCTCCCCCGCTGCCTTTGAAGTCCTTCAAGCCCAGCACAAATGCCATGTTTTATAGGAAGCCGTGTGAGACCACCTCTTTCTTCCCTCTGCTCCCCAGCAAACTCCTCATCCTTCCATGGGGCAGAAGACCATGGTGGAAAGAGTGTGTGCTCTGGACTCAGACAGACCCGGGTTTGCATCCCAACTCTGCTAATGACTAGCTGTTTGACCTTGGGCATGTTACTTAGCCTCTCTGAGCTTTAATTCCTTCATCTGTAGAATGGGGACAATACTTCTACGGGTTGTGAGTGAGGAGTAAATAAGCTATGGTGCCAAGATCAGCGCTGAGCGACAGGAAATGCTTGGTAAACTGACAGCTTTTACTGCAGTCCGTATCAGAGTGCCTACTATCACGATTAGCTGGGAACACATCTGCCTGCCCGCAGACTGGTGTGTGGGAGCCCTTGTTGTGGGGCAGGGGCAGTGTCTCACTCCCTTCCCACTTCCTGCCCTGCAACCTGGCACCCCCTGACAAGACAGTGCTCCAGGCAGCATGAGTGCCCAGGGAGTGTCTGCAGAGTTGAACTATGTTAAAGAGAAGTCCAGTTGGCCGGGCGTGGGGGTTCATGCCTGTAATCCCAGCACTTTAGACCGAGATGGGCGGATCAGGACGAGGTCAGGAGATCAAGACTACCCTGGCTAACACGGTGAAACCCTGTCTCTACTAAAAATACAAAAAATAGCCAGGCGTGTTGGCAGGCCCCTGTAGTCCCAGCTACTTGGGAGGCTGAGTCAGGAGAATGGTGTGAACCCGGGAGGCAGAGCTTACAGGGAGTGGAGATCGCCCACCGCACTCCAGCCTGGGCGAGAGTGCGAGACTCTATCTCAAAAAAAAAAAAAAAAAAAAAAAAGAAACAAAGAAAGAGGCGTCCAGCAAAGATCTCAGTGGAGAGTCCTAGGCAGAGGGCAGCAGTCAGGGCGGGCCCTACCACTCACCCCGATGCCTCTCCCTACAGTTTCGGGAGAATGTCCAGGATGTGCTGCCGGCCCTGCCGAATCCAGATGACTATTTTCTCCTGCGTTGGCTCCGAGGTGAGGGAAGAGGGGCTGCGGGAGGCTGGGGCAGGGGCTTGTTCTGGGCAACAGAATAGCACCCTCTGAAAACCCTGCCCTTGGCAATTGAGGCATCTAGAGTGTCCAACCTTTAGCGCCAAAGGGCCCTTGGCAATGACATAAGCTCAACCCTCCTAGTGGATAAAGACACTGAGGCTCAGAGAGGTCAAGTGACTTGTTCCAAGCCACACAGTGAGCGAACTGCAGGCAGAGAAAAGGGGAGAGTCCAGGTCGGCTGACCCTTGGCCCACAGCCTTTTCCATCTACTCAAGAAATCTGCTCTGCTGATGGAGTTGGGGAAATTGGCTGAAGAAAAAGTGAGAAAGGCCCCAGCCATGTGGGGGGTCGGAGGCAGAGCCAAGTGTAGAACCAGAGTCCTGGCCCCTGCTATGCCCTAGTGTGATGGCAGGTCCCTGCAGACCACAGTTTAGGCAACTTGAGGGAGGGGCAGAGTGCATGGGGAACCTGAGGGGCACAGCCTGACCTAGAGTGACAAGAGTCTCCTCAAACCACCACCAGGCTCTAGAGCCCAGGTCCTGGTTCCAGCTCTTCCCCAGCCTGGCTGTGGTGCCTTGTTCAGGGTAAATACTTCCCTAGGATCCTCCTCTGGAAGAGCAGGACAAGACCTGCCTGCTGCAAGACGTGACATGACAGAACTCTGCATGTGGTGTTGAAATGCACACATTTCTACTGGCATGAGGGTCAAATTCAGCCTGGTGCCCCAATCCCTGAGATGTTTCCATTCCTTCCCCTCCTCTCCTTTCCTGTGATTCAGGTCATGTGCCACCCTCCCTGATTCTTCTGACACTTTTTTTCCCCTCTATATAGAAATTTTATTAACAGACATAGAAATAATAAAGAAAATTCCATTATGGCCAGGTGCGGTGGCTCACGCCTGTAATCCCAGCAGTTTGGGAGGCTAGGCGGGCAGATCACTTGAGGCCAGGACTTCGAGACCAGCCTGGCTGACATGGTGAAACTCCACCTCTACTAAAAAACACAAAAATTAGCCGGGCATGGTGGCGGGCACCTGTAATCCCAGCTACTCAGGAGGCTGAGGTGGGAGGGTCGCTTGAACCCGGGAGGTGGAGGTTGCAGTGAGCTGACATTTCGCCACTGCACTCCAGCCTGGGTGACAGAGGGAGACTCCGTCTCAAAAAAAAAAAAAAAAAAAAAAAAAAAAAGAAGGTTACCTTTTTTTTTTTCTTTTTAGTAGAGACCTAGGTTTCACGTTGGCCAGGCTGGTCTCGAACTCCTGGCCTCAAGTGATCTGCCTGCCTTGGCCTCCCAAAGTGTGGTATAGAATCATATCCTAAAATATTAAAGTACAAATTATGCCCTATTATTTTAATTTTAATTTCTTTTTTTGAGACAGGGTCTCACTCTGCTGCCCAGGCAATGGGCATGATCGTAGGTCACTGCTGCCTTGAACTCCTGGTCTCAAGTGATTTATTTATTTATTTATTTATTTATTTATTTATTTATTTAGAGATGGAGTCTTGCTCTGTTGCCCAGGCTGGAGTGCAATGGTGCAGTCTCGGCTCACTGCCACCTCCACCTCCCAGGTTCAAGCAATTCTTCTGCCTCAGCCTCCTGAGTAGCTGGGATTATAGGCTCCCACCACCACACCGGCTAAGGGTTTCACCATGTTGGCCAGGCTGGTCTCAAACTCCTGACCTCAGGTGATCTGCCCACCTCAGCCTCCCAAAGTGTTAGGATTACAGGCGTGAGCCACCACACCTGGCTGTTATTTTTATTTTATATTTTTATTTTTATTATTTTTATTTTTTTTGAGACAGAGTCTCACTCTGTCGCCCAGGCTGGACTGCAATGGTGCGATCTCGGCTCACTGCAACCTCCACCTCCCAGTTTCAAGCAATTCTCCTACCTCAGCCTCCCAAGTAGCTGGGATTACAGGCATGCGCCACCACGCCCGGCTAATTTTTTTTTTTTTTGTATCTTTAGTAGAGACGGGGTTTCACTATGTTGGCCAGCCTGGTCTCGAATTCCTGACCTCATGATCCATCCGCCTTGGCCTATTTTTACTTTTGAAACAGGGTCTTGCTGGCCTCAAACTCCTGGGATCAAGTGATCCTCCCACCTCAGCCTCCCGAGTAGCTTGGCCTACAGGTACACACCACTGTGACTGGCCCTATTATTTCTTTATGGACACATAAAGACATGCACATGCACACCCTAGGAGTCTTGGGGCAGATGAAGAGATGTATTTTCCTTTTCTTTCCAGAAATTTCACAGAGCTGGCACGCTCCTGAGAGGCTGCTTGTAAACATCTGAGGGCAGATCCATCCAGGAGCCTCTGGAAGTGTCACTTGCCCCTTTCCCCAAAAAAGCTTCCATACCATCCCCCTACCCCAGTCCACCGCCCAGAGATGGTGGAGGGGTAGTGTGGGGGCGGCAGTGGAATCAGTTCAGGCTGGAGGAAATTTTGGCCCAGCATTTGCTAAAGGGCTGCAGCTAGAAGCAGGTGGGTGGAGAGAGTGGGAAGATAGTAGCCTTCTTAAAGGGCCAGTTGCAAAATGATCCAGCAGACTAGGGAGCTGCTGTTGGGGGAGAAGCATGGTTTCTGAGAGCCACTGAACAGCAACACAGCTCTCTTACTGAGGCAGGGGCCAGCCAGGGGTCCTGGCAGCTGGTCTCCTGATTCCTGGGGAGCCTCATACTTCAGGCACACCCTACCCCCTCACAGTGGCGGTCATTCAAAGAATGTGGTCGGTCATTCTCATTTGCCAGATGAGAAAACAGGCTCAGAGAGGGGAGGGGACTTACCTGAAGTTACAGTTAATGCGAAGCAGAATCAGGGCAGAAACCTAGGACTCCAGACTCCAGGCCAGTATCCTTTCCAGGAAGCCACCCCTGCTCCTTAAAGCCAAGCTCAGCCTCTTACAACAGAGGAAGTGTCTCCTCTGCATTTCATTTGTGCCTCACATTTCCTGGGCAGGAGCTCAGGCCTGGTCAGAACCTAATATGAATCTCAATTGGGTTTTTTTTTTTTGTCCCTAAAAAAAACCCAAAACCCAAAAAACAACAAAAAACCAAGGCCTGGCATGGTGGTTCATGCCTGTAATCCCAGCACTTTGGGAGGCCAAGGTGGGAGGATCACCTAAGCCCAGGAATTCAAGACCAGCCTGGGCAATATAGCAAGACCCTGCCTCTACTTAAAAAAAAAAAAATTAGCTGGGTGTGGTGGCGTGCACCTGTAGTCCCAGCTACTCGGTAGGCCGAGGTGGGAAGTCACTTAATCCAGTAGTTTGAGACTATAGTGAGCTATATCGCACCACTGCATTCCAACCTGGGCGACAGAGCAAGATTCTGTCTCAAAGAAAATAAAACAAAACAAAACAAACAAAAAAACAGCCTTTTCTCTTTCTCTCCTTCAATCTGACAAAGACCTTTCATAAAAGTCACACACGGGCAGAATGTCTGTCCCTAACCCAGGTGTGTGCTTGGGGCTCCTCTCCCTCCCTTTCTCCACTGAGGGCTTCAGTTTTCTGCTGGCTTCCAGGCATGGAGAGCAGGTCCGCAAGTCTCCTCTGCTTCCCCCTGACTGAGGCTGAGTTCTGGGCACCCCAGCAAGAAGGATCAGAGAGCAGGATAAAACAAGGAAGTGGTGGAAGCCCTGGGAGGGAGGCAGAGCGGGTCTGAGTCTCTGCATTTTACAGGTCTAGGGAATGAATGAACCACCACCACCCAGACAGCTGCTCCTGAGCTGGGTTCTTGCAGTGCCCCAAGCCATGCTTTGAGTTGCCCCTGACCAGGGCAGCAGGAGCCTGGAGAGGCCTCAAGCAGGCATGGGGAGGCCTCAGGTGTGGTACTGCCAAGAGCAGGTGGCAACTCTGGGAGAGCCCTCACAGAAGATGCTGGATGTTGGGCCTTGGCAGATAAGGGTTAACTGGAGAGCCTCCCCAAGATAAGGGGCTCACAGTTCGCCACCACTCCTGTTCCCTAAGAAGATAAGGGTTCTGGCTGGGCGCGGTGGCTCACGCCTGTAATCCCAGCACTTTGGGAGGCCGAGGCAGGTGGATCATGAGGTCAGGAGATCGAGACCATCCTGGCTAACAAGGTGAAACCCCGTCTCTACTAAAAATACAAAAAATTAGCCGGGTGCGGTGGCGGGCGCCTGTAGTCCCAGCTACTCGGGAGGCTGAGGCAGGAGAATGGCGTGAACCCGGGAAGCGGAGCTTGCAGTGAGCTGAGATTGCGCCACTGCAGTCCGCAGTCCGGCCTGGGCGACAGAGCGAGACTCCGTCTCAAAAAAAAAAAAAAAAAAAAGAAAAAAAAAAAAAGAAGATAAGGGTTCTTCTCACAATAGTGGTGTCCTTCCTATGGAAGATTCTCATTTTCATGGCCCAACTCCCCCACCATGAGAGGACAGTGCCTTGCATCTTCCAAGTGTTTCTATCTTATCAGATGATTTGGTCAGAGATGTACAGTATCTTGTCCAAGGTCAAGCAGAGAAATGAAGAGCTGGGATGCAAACCCAGAAGATATTCCTCTAAAAGCTGTCCCATGCTGCCATGGCAGCACACAAAAAAGGGTGGGATTCAGTTCTGCCAGGACGTGTCCGGCACCTGTGATGGGTGTGGCATTGTTCAAATCTCTTGAGGGAGCCTATGGGCCCAGGAGAAGGGACTGATTTTCATAACGGCAGAGTCAGGGAATGTGCTCGGCACTCCCAGAGAGCGATGGTTAAGGGACCGGTGACAGTCCAGAGGGCAGCCTGTCTGGCCCAGGTTCCACAACTGTCAGCAAATCTAGATGCCAAATCCACAGAGGACATACAACTGGGAGGGACAGTTCATAGGTCAGATGGCAAAATTGATCTGAATCTGGATCTCAAAACTCTTTGAAGGATGGACTGAAGTTGACTGTAACAAGAGGAAATTTGATAGGGAAGGATCTAAGGTCTCTCCTCTCCATGTATGCAATGGAGGCTTAGCAGTGGCACAGGTGAAAAGGATTTGGGGGGTTTCAGTGCCTATAAGCTCCACCTGAGTTAAGGGTGTTGCCTGTTGCCAAGAAAGTTCTTAGGCTGGGCACAATGTCTCATGCCTGTAATCCCAGCACTTTGGGAGGCCCAGGCGGGTGGATCACCTGAAGTCAGAAGTTTGAGACCAGCCTGGCCAACATGGTGAAACCCCATCTCTACTAAAAATACAAAAATTAGCCAGGTGTGGTGGCGTGTGCCTGTAATCCCAGCTACTCAGGAGGCTGAGGCAGGAGAATTGCTTGAACCCGGGAGGCAGAGGTTGCAGTGAGCTGAGATTGCACCATTACACTCCAGCCTGGATGACAAGAGCGAAATTGTCTCAAAAAAAAAAAGAAAAGAAAAGAAAAAGAGAGTTCTTAGACAACACTTGGGGCTCTGCGTGGCTCTTAGAGCACACTCTGAGGGGGCTCTGGAAAATTGGAAAACACTCAAAGGGAAGTTATTTGCATGGACTTCAGACCAAGCTGTGGGGCTTCGTAAAGTCTCTAAGGATGGGCAGCACGATGGTAGGGGAGATGCAGAGTGAAAGCACAGAATTTTCCAGTCTTGGAAGTGTTGTCATGAGGCTAAGGAGGCAATCCTACTCTCTGAGTGTCTCTGAAATGAATCTCAACTCAGTATCAATCAGCTGAGTGCAAATTGCAGCTATGATTACCTGGGAGCAAGTGGCCTTGGGGGTCAGTGAGGTCTTTGTGTTCAAGCTTGAGCAGGACAACTTTTGGGGCATCATGCATAAAGAGGTGACCCAGGTGAAACTGAATTCTGAAACTTGTCAGGAGCCCTGGGAGGCAGGCCCTTTGTGTGGCTTTAGGGAATGTGTGGGCCCTTTGAGGACATGACAAGGTTGGGTGGAGGCTCATCAACCCCTCTATCCCACTGGGATGTTCTGCCAGCTCTGCCACAGATTACAGGGGCAGCTATATTCATCTTTGTTTTTTGTTTTTCTTGGGATGGGATCTCGCTGTGTCACCCAGGCTGGAGTATAGTAGCGAGATCTCAGCTCACTGCAACCTTCACCTCCTAGGCTCCAGCAATCCTCCCACCTCAGCCTCCCAAGTAGCTGGGACTAGAGGTGCATGCCACCACCTGTAGCTAATTAGTTTTTTTGTTTTGTTTTGTTTTGTTTTTTTGGAGAGACGAGGTCTCACTGTATTGCCCAGGCTGGTATGTTCATCTTTGAACTGTGGTGTCAAGGTCTCAGGATTGGATGTGAGACTGTGGAGGAGATAAACTTTGTGCAAGGGGGAAGGCCAAATGATAAGAGGATCCGGGGTTCATTTTCACTGAGAGGACGGAAGACCTTTAAGTTGATTATAACCACTGGAGTAAAGCTCTCTTGACCCTGAAGTTACAATAGCTGCCCCCAGCTGCCCTGAACTTTGACCTGCTCTCCTCGCAAACCTGGGGCCTGTGGTGCCCCAGAAGTTCTCAGTAAAGGCTCTCATGTTAGCTTCTGCTTGTAGGATGGTCTGAGGGTTAGCTGGAGAGATGACTGAGAGGAACTGGCCCTATCATGGGAATATGGGAATCTCCCCATCCTTGGACACCCAGTCCTGCTAACCTAACCCTGACCAGAACTGTTTCCCTGTTACAGCCAGAAGCTTCGACCTGCAGAAGTCGGAGGCCATGCTCCGGAAGGTGAGACACATTTGGCTGTTGCTTCAGTTCCTCCCCATCAGAATCACTCCTTGCGTGGACTTCTTTTGCCGCACCTCCCATCCCAATCACAGCTTTTGGCTTTGAGTATTAGCCGACCACTGTTGCCTTATCCCTCTGGGACAAATTGCATTCCCTTCCCTGGCAACACAGGCTTTCATAGCTCTGGGCCAGCCAAGAATGATAATCTGTTCTGCTAAGACCTCTAAAACAGGCAGGGCCTTCTTTTCCATTCCTGCCTAATGCCTTCTGGTGACCACTTATGATCTGGTGGTCCATTCACGCTGTCGCTTATTGCTACATGCCTATTAAACCTCCCCCACCATCCCTGCTTTTTGTTTTCTTTTTTATTTTTTTCTTTTTGGAGACAGAGTCTCGCTCTGTCACCCAGGCTGGAGTGCAGCAGTGGCGCGATCTCAGCTCACTGCAACCTCCGCCTCCCGGGTTCAAGTGATTTCATGCCTCAGCCACCTGAGTAGCTGGGATTACAGGTATGCACCACCACAGCTGGCTAATTTTTCTATTTTTAGTAGGGACGGGATTTTGCCATGTTGGCCAGGCTGGTCTTGAACTCCTGGCCTCAAGTGATCCACCCGCCTTGGCCTCCCAAAGTGCTGGGATTACAGGTGTGAACCACCATGCCTGGCTGTCCATCCCTCCTTTTAAAAATTTCCCCATTGTATCTTTGTAGCATGTGGAGTTCCGAAAGCAAAAGGACATTGACAACATCATTAGCTGGCAGCCTCCAGAGGTGAGCACAAATTATCCCACCTCATCCCTATGCTAGGCCTTTCAGACCCACAACCTGGGTCCTGGATCCACTGGATTTGGATCCTTAGAGGAAAGGTCTGACAATGCCCACTGAGCCCTGATGGTCTCCAGAATGGGCATCTGTTGGTACCCAGGAGAGGGAGGTAGAGAAAGATACTGATGAACCTGGAGTAAGGCCCTGTGGTCCAGGCAAGGTATGGATGCCTGCTGACCAGGTGGCTCCTCTGTGTCTTTGCCCAGGTGATCCAACAGTATCTGTCAGGGGGTATGTGTGGCTATGACCTGGATGGCTGCCCAGTCTGGTACGACATAATTGGACCTCTGGATGCCAAGGGTCTGCTGTTCTCAGCCTCCAAACAGGACCTGCTGAGGACCAAGATGCGGGAGTGTGAGCTGCTTCTGCAAGAGTGTGCCCACCAGACCACAAAGGTGAGTGGACCACCATGGCTAGAAATGAGTTGACCACAGCAGAGGCATTCCAGCAGAAGCAGGGATGTCACACAGGAATATAAGCACAGCTTCAGGGCCAAGGCCCAGCCTTTTTTTTTTTTTTTTTAATTTTTAAAACTTTTTTAGTAGAGACGGGGTTTCATCATGTTGGCCAGGCTGGTCTTGAACTCCTGACCTCAAGTGATCCACCCACCTCGGACTCCCAAAGTGCTGGGATTACAGGTGTGAGCCACTGGACCTGGCCGAGGCCCAGGCTTTGGGATTTCCTAGACCAGTGACATTTCCAAGTTTTAGAATATTCCCAAATATCTATTTTGCCATGTAAGGACTTTAAAACAATGACCATCTATTGTTGCCATCATTAACACCCAAAACTATAAGAATGGCAATAATCTCAGATGAAAAAGCAGTCCTTTAGGAAGCTGCAGTGAGCCAAGATCGTGCCACTGCACTCCAGCCTGGGCGACAGAGACTCCATCTCAAAAAAAAAAAAAAAGGAGTCCTTTAAATTGAATAAATTTAGCTTCATAAAAAACTCACTACATTATTGTTATTTTTCTGATTTATATGGGGACCCAGTGAAATCTTACTGTGGACCAACCCATCCTTGAGCAAGTATTTGGGTACCACTGGTGCAAATGATGTCAGATTCTTGCTTCTCTAATTCTGTATTTAAAAAAGATAAGGATGGCTGGGTGTGGTGGCTCATGCCTGTAATCCCAGCACTTTGGGAGGCTGAGGTGGGCAGATTGAGCCCAAGAGTTCAAGACCAGCCTGGGCAACATGGCAAGAGCCTGTCTCTACAAAAAAAAGTAAAAAATTAGCTGTGCATAGTGGCATATACCAGCTACTAGGGAGGCTGAGGTGAGAGGATCACTTGAACTTGGGAAGTCGAGGCTGCAGTGAGCCGTGATCGCACCACTGCACTCCAGCTTGGGCAACAGGGCTAGACCCTGCGCCAAAAAAAATAAGGATAGCTGATTCCCTTACTGAGAAAAAGACTGAAGAACAAGCAGGAGCTGCCACTTCCCTCCTGCCCTCCTCTCAGCAGTTGTAAAGATCCAGTGAAATGATGTCATAAAGTCTAGGAACATTCCCACACTCATCTACAAATGTTCACAGAGAGCCTACTGTGCGCAGAGACCCTGCGGAGCTGGGGATGCAGGAAGCATTAGACGTGGATGCACCCCTGAGGGTTCAGGGTGCACAGAACGTCTGTCCTCGGGCATAAGTGGCTCTACGGGTACCGTGCACAGAGCACACAGTGACTCAGGAAGGGGGAGGCCATCAGGCCAAACTGCAGAACCAAAGCCATCTCAGATGTCATCTAGATCCACCCAGTCATGTACTGGAAAAGAACACAGAGACCTAGGCAGGAAGAGTGACTCGCCTAGACCACAATTCTGGCCTGGGGTGATTATCTCAGTTTGGAAAACTCTAGGTCCGGCCCTAACTAGCTCTGATTGCTCTCTGGATGCACAGTGCAATCATTTGGCCTGGACTGGAACGGGCTTCTGAAGTAGGACAGCCTGACAAGACTTCCTGCTCTCTGTTCCCTGCAGTTGGGGAGGAAGGTGGAGACCATCACCATAATTTATGACTGCGAGGGGCTTGGCCTCAAGCATCTCTGGAAGCCTGCTGTGGAGGCCTATGGAGAGGTGAGGGGCAGGGGTGGGGAGGAAGGGGACAGAGGGAAGGGGAGGAGGAGTAGACCCCTCTCCTAGGCTGTCCTGTGGGATGGGTGAGGCAATGGGGGCAGATTCTGAGCCTGCTGGAATCAAGAGTGATTTTGTTTCCACAGTTTCTCTGCATGTTTGAGGAAAATTATCCCGAAACACTGAAGCGTCTTTTTGTTGTTAAAGGTAAGTTGGGAATTTCTTGTGATAAAGCCAGATGGAAAAGAGGGGTCAAAAACATGACTGCGGCAGATGGAGGGTCAAACAGTGAGCCAAAAGAGGGGGTCTGAGGACATGTTCAGAAGACTGCTGCCCCTGCTAGTGTGCTGGCTCACGCCTGTAACCCCAGCACTTTGGGAGGCCGAGGCAGGAGGCTCTCTTGAGCCCAGGAGTTTGAGACCAGCCTGGGTAACACAGCAAGACCTCATCTCTATAAAAAAGTTAAGGAAATGAGCTGGGTATGGTGGTGCATGCCTGTAGTTCCAGTTTCTCAAAAGGCTGAGGCAAGAGCATTGCTTGAGTCTAGGAGTTTAAGGCTGCAGTGAGCCATGATTGTGCCACTGCACTCCAGCCTGGGCGACGGAGCAAGTCTCCATCTCAAAAAAATAAAAATAGGGCTAGGTGCAGTGGCTCACTCCTGTAATCCCAGCACTTTGGGAGGCTGAGGTGGGCAGATCACTTGAGGCCAGGAGTTCAAGACCAGCCTGGCCAATATAGCAAAACCCCATCTCTACTAAAAATATGGAAATTAGCTGGGCGTGGTGGCCCACACCTGTAGTCCCAGCTACTCAGGTGGCTGAAGCACAAAAATCACTTGAACCCGGGAGGTGGAGGATGCAGTGAGCTGAGAGCTCACTGAGGCTGAGGCAAGAGCACTGCTTGAGCCCAGGAGTAAAAGGCTGCAGTGAGCTATGATTGTGCCACTGCACTCCAGCCTGGGTGACAGAGCAAGACTCTGTCTCAAAAAAATAAAATAAAAAGAACACTGCCCTTCACATACGCAGACTACTTTACAACTCACAGAGCTTTCAGTATTTATAATCTCCTTTGAGCCACCCAGCCTGATGAGATGGGAAGAGACCATTTGATTATATCCACTGTAAAGATGGGAAGGCTGGACCTCAAAGATGCCCATGCTGAGCTGCACACCCTGGGCTGCCTATGTGGGCTCCAGAGCCCTGGGGAACATGTGGCCCAGCATGGGCTGGCAGGAGGGTAGCAGGTGCTGCAGAGGACGCTGTTAGGGACAGACTGGGCACTGCTCCCAGCCTCACATTATCTGGTCTCTGTTCCAGCCCCCAAACTGTTTCCTGTGGCCTATAACCTCATCAAACCCTTCCTGAGTGAGGACACTCGTAAGAAGATCATGGTCCTGGGAGGTAAGTGGTCCAGACTGTTCTCAACTCCAAAGGAGGGTCTGTAGCCTAAATCGGGTCCAGCTTTAGGGGTGTGGCCGTAGCCACCAGGGTGAAAGCTCCCTCTGCTAGTTTGGGAGCAGTGGGACCCAGGAGCAAGCTGGGGTGGAGCTAGTGCCTTCTTCTGTTTTCCTAAGAACTCTTTCTCTCAGACACTCTAGAAGCAAGCACTGGGTCCATTATTGTAGATTCAAAGATGAATGAGACTCCAGTCCTTGCCCTCAAGGAACTTACAGTATAACAGGAGACAGAAGACCTAGAAAGAGAGGCTGGGTGCAGTGGCTCATGCCTGTAATCCCAACACTGGGAGGCTCAGGTGAAAGGATCACTTGAGGCCAGGAGCTCAAGACCAGCCTGGGCAACAAAGCGAGACCCTGTCTTTACTAAAAAATAAAAAATAGCTGGGCATAATGGCGTGCACTTGTAGTCTTAGCTATTTGGAGGCTTAGGCAGGAAGATCCCTTGAGCCCAGGAGTTCAAGGCTGCAGTTAGCTATGATCATGCCACTGCACTGCAGCCTGGGCAACAGAGCAAGACCTTGTTTTTTAAAAAAAGACCTAGAGAGAGAAAGCTATGATATAAACTAGAAAAGACAGTAGACTAGTCATAGAGAGGGTGCCATAGAAGTTGCAGGAGCAAGGTTGCTTTCAGTTGGGGAAAACTAGGAGCAGCTTCATTTGACAAGCACATAGTATGTGCCAGGCCTGAGCTACTGCCAAGACTACAAAGATGAATAAGACAGAGTCCTGGCTGGGCACGGTGGCTCATGCCTGTAATCCCAGCACTTTGGGAGGCCGAGGTAGGCGGATCGCTTGAGCTTAGGAGTTCGAGACCAGCCTGGCCAACATGGTGAAACCCCATCTCTGCTAAAAATAGAAAAATTAGCCAGGCGTCGTGGTGTGCACCTGTAATCCCAGCTACTTGGGAGGCTGAGGCAGGAGAATCGCTTGAACCCAGGAGGTGGAAGGTTGCAGTGAGCCGAGATTGCACCACTGCACTCCAGCCTGGGCAACAGAGACTCCGTCTCAAAAAAAAAAAAAAAAAAAGGGGTCCCTTGAAGGTCTTTTGGCCTCTCTGGGAAAGCAGACACAAACAAATCTATCAGTATGCTGTGGTAAATGTACAGAAGGGGAAACCACAAAGTGCATGGGAGCACTCAGCGGGAGCACCCACTCCACCTGAGCTAGGAAGGGGGTGATGCCTACCTAAGCTGCGTGCTATGGAATGAGTAAGAGTCTGCCAGATGGAGCAAGGCAGGAAGCTGCTTGGCAGAAAGAAGAGCATTGAACAAAGACCTTACATAGCATGGCAGAGGCAGCTGTTATAGAATGTGAGGCAGGGTGTGGCAAGGTATGAGGCTGGAGAGGGAACCAGGAGTCAGGCCCCAGAGAATCCCGGGCACTAGGTTGAAAAGCTGGGATATGACTCTACAGGCCACTGGGAATCAGAGTTTTCAGCAGGGGAGTACCACAAATTTTAAACCAAGACACAGTACTAGCAAGATTGCGAAGGCTACCAGTTTGCACGAGCCTCTGTCTCTACAAAAAAAAGTAAAAAATTAGCTGTGCATAGTGGCACATACCAGCTACTAGGGAAGCTATAGATTTGTTTGTATCTGCCTTCCCAGAGAGGCCAAAAGACCTTCAAGGGACCCCCTTTTTTTTTTTGAGACAGAGTCTCTGTTGCCTAGGCTGGAGTGCAGTGGTACAATCTCGGCACAATGTTGTCACAGTCCACGCAAGAGGTGTTGCAAGCCTGAATCGGGGAATTGGCAACAGGGATAGAGAGGAGAGGATGGATTTAAGAATTATTTAGGGCCAGGCGCAGTGGCTCAGGCCCATAATCCCAAACACTTTGTGAGTGTTTGGGAGGCCCAAGTGGGTGGATCGCTTGAGCCCAGGAATTCCAGATCAGCCTGGACAACATGGTAAAACTCCATCTCTACAAAAAATACAAAAATTAGCCAGGTTTGGTGGTGTGTGCCTGTAGTCCCAGCTACATGGGAGGGTGAGGTGGGAGGATCGCTTAGCCCAGGAGTTCGAGGCTGTGGTGAGTCATGATGGGTGCCACTGCACTCCAGCCTGGGCAACAGAGCAAAACCCTGTCTCAAAAAAAAAAAACAAACAAAAAAACAAAAAAAAAACAAAAAAAACTTATATAGAAAGTAAAACAGCAGAACTCAATTGACTAGATGTAGGAAGTAAGGGAGAAAGCTAGAATGAGCTCCTGGTGTCTGGCAGAGGTGACTGAGAGATGGTGACGCATTAGTTCAACTGGGGAAAACAAAAAAGCTTGAAGTTGAGCTTGAGGAGTCTGTGAGATATAAAAATGTTGGGAATACCTGAGTTTGAAGCTTAGGAGAAAACTCTGGTCTGGAGATTTGGGAGTTATCAAATAACAGCAGCAGCTAAAACCTTGTCAGTACGTAAGACTGCCTACGGAGGAACAGAGGCAGAACCCTGGGGAACATCCGAGCTCAAGAGCAGGCAGAGAAAGCGAACCCAGCAGGGAGACTGAGAAGTGATTAATGAGGTTGGCAGAGAAGCAAGTCAACAGGGAATGGATATGCAGGGAAGTAGGGGCAACATCAGGGTACAAGGAAAAGTGTGACCCAAAACCCAGCAAAGAGGACACACAGGCATCAAGCCAGCCAGGGACAGGCAGGAGTTCAGTTTTGCTGAAGTGGAGTGGAGGGAGAAAAGGCTAGAAAGGTAGATTGGGCATCCAGGTGTGGTGGCTCACACCTGTAATCCCAGCTACTCGGGAGGCTGAGGCAGGAGGACCACTTGAGCACAAGAGTTTGAGACCAGCCTGGGAAACATAGTGAGACACCGTTTCAAAAACAAAACAAAAAGGTATATTGGGACAGGCTCATGAAAGGGTGAATGCCACCTATGGCACTGAACTTTGGGGGTAGGTAAGAGGGATTCTGAAGGCTTCACAATGTTCATCTTTTGGTGACACACGAGAATTGGAGATTTTCCAAATGTATGCTAGTGAGACCCGGGGAGTGAAGTGAACTCATCAGGGAAGTGTAGGACTTCTGGGTTCCAGACTTAGCTCTGGCAGCAACAAGCTCAAGCTCTGTTTTTTTTTTTTCTTTTTTAAATTTAGGTCCCCACAAAAGCATTCTTTTTTCTTTTTTGAGGGAGCCTTGCTGTTGCTCAGGCTGGAGTACAGTGGCGTGATCACGGCTTACTGGAGCCTCAATCTCCTGGGCTCAAATGATCATCCCACCTCAGTCTCCTGAGCAGCTGGGACTACAGCCAGCACACCCACCTAAATTTTTATTTTTGGTAGAGACGGGAGCTCACTATGTTGCCCAGGTTGATCTTGAACTCCTGGGATCAAGCAATCCTCCTGCCTCAGCCTCCCAAATCACTGGGATTACAGGCATGAGCCACTGCACCCAGCCAGCTCTCTGCTTTTTGTTGCCTCAGTTATTCTCTCTGTAAGATGGGAAGAATCCTCCTGGCCTTATCCCAACTCTCCAGCTGGACTGGGGGAAGAACTATAAAAGCTGAGCAAGAGGTTTTTATGATTTTTGTTTTTTCTGCTGCTACCACCCACCATGGGCATGAGACGGTTTGGTTTCCTGGCAGCAGAGCTGTGTAGGAGGTTCAGTCTGTTCCCCTACCACACCTAAAACTCTTTCAACCAAACCTGCCTCAGGCTGGGAAGATACAGAATTTTCAACAGAGGGGGGAGATTCACTCGGGCTGGTCACTGGAGCTTAGCAGTGCAGATTAAATCACCCCAAGACCACAGACACTGTGTTCCCAGGAGTTGCATGGTCTTTGGTCCCTAAAAATCTGAGGGCTGGCAGACTCTGGACAGTTTCTGCGGGTCTCCAGCCAGCATGACACTGGCTTGTACCCCAGGGCCTGGAGCTGCTGCCTATATATGCTCTATATAGTAGGCATAGGCAGGTTTTAGTATCAAAATATTGTACCTGGCTGATATTTGTGAATTTGGATTGGTGAAGTGGTTCTTAGCATTGGCTGTGCTAGAGTCAAACTCTCCTAGACAGGAAGGAGCTTGGGTATTTTAAAAAAAAAAAAAAAGAGCCAAATTACTGGTGGCTCAACAGCTGAAAACAATGGGAGCAGAAGTGAAATGGTGGCTGGGGTAAAGCCAAGAATCCATTTAAGGGGTGACTCTACAGAGATGCATTTACTTATTAAGTCACGACTTAGCTGTAGGGGAAGGTGGGGGAAAGACACATAGTTCTGCCCTCACAGTGTTCAGTATAATCAGGACAGGGTATGTGCATTCAGGCCTTCCTGCCCGCCACACGTGCTGTTTCCTCTGCATGGAATGTCCTTCTACCCTTTCTTTGTCCCCTCTCCTGCTGTACTTCAATGTATCACCTCCATGGGGTAATAACATACTCTTAACGTGTATAAGGCACTTTATGGTTTAAAAAGCCCTCTCGGCCGGGCGCAGTGGCTCATGCCTGTAATCCCAGCACTTTGGGAGGCCGAGGTGGGTGGATCATCTGAGGTCAGGAGTTCGAGACCAGCCTGGCCAACATGGTGAAACCCTATCTCTACTAAAAATACAAAAAATTAGCTGGGTGTGGTGTCGGGCGCCTGTTGTCCTAGCTTCTCAGGAGGCTGAGGCGGAAGAATCACTTGAACCCGGGAGGCGGAGGTTGCAGTGATCCAAGATTGCGCCACTGTACTCTAGCCTAGGCAACAGGGTGAGACTCTGTCTCAAACAGAAAAGCCTTCTCAAGTACTTAGTTCATTTCACTCCCACCATAACCAGGCAGGGCAAGAATGTCACTTAGCTGTTCAGACACGAGGGCAGGAACCAGGGTCTCGATTTCTGGCCTGGGGCAGAGCCATCCTCTGGCTCCTGCTGAACCCCCTGCAGTACTATGCATGCACTGTGTGCTCCTAATGCAGGAATTTGAGGCGGGGTGTTGTGGGGTGCAATGGATGGGTTTTTTCTGCCTCTTTAGTGTAGACCACTAGGGTTATGGCGAAATCTTACCTAGTGTTGAGATACATCTTTATCCTTCCTTCCCTCTCCTGCCAGCAAATTGGAAGGAGGTTTTACTGAAACATATCAGCCCTGACCAGGTGCCTGTGGAGTATGGGGGCACCATGACTGACCCTGATGGAAACCCCAAGTGCAAATCCAAGGTATGAGCCGCCAGAGGCTAGAGGTGAACAGGGATGCCTGGCTCAAATGCACATTCCAGTTCACTCCATGCCATGCTTCTAGATCAACTACGGGGGTGACATCCCCAGGAAGTATTATGTGCGAGACCAGGTGAAACAGCAGTATGAACACAGCGTGCAGATTTCCCGTGGCTCCTCCCACCAAGTGGAGTATGAGATCCTCTTCCCTGGCTGTGTCCTCAGGTAGGGGCCTGGGCCCTTCCAGGAGACCCGAGCTTTCATCTATAGGTCCTGATAGGTGGGCTGGAATAGGAGAAGCCCTGGTGCCAGGACCCCGGAGAGGGCACACACAGACAGAATTATGTCTCAATTGGTGATATCCCCTGCAGGTGGCAGTTTATGTCAGATGGAGCGGATGTTGGTTTTGGGATTTTCCTGAAGACCAAGATGGGAGAGAGGCAGCGGGCAGGGGAGATGACAGAGGTGCTGCCCAACCAGAGGTACAACTCCCACCTGGTCCCTGAAGATGGGACCCTCACCTGCAGTGATCCTGGCATCTGTAAGTATCTCTGCCTTGGCAATGCCTTGAAGCCCCATGTCCAGCTTTCTGCCTGTGAGGTTCCTCTTCCTCCATGGATTTTTGGCTCTGAGTGTTAGAACTAGAAGTGGAATGCCATCAGTTCAATCCTCTCCTTGTATAGATGAAGAAATCTAGCCTTGGAGACTTGTTTATGGTGACCCAACTGGTTAACAGCAGGGTGGGACTTTGATCTCATACTCCTAGGTATGGGTGAGTCACAGTCCTAGGCGATCACAGGGGTTCAACACGTCTGCTTTCTGGTCCAGGTCTAACTGGGTCTGTGACTGGACAGATATTTCTTGGGGATGCTCCTTCCCAGAGGTCACAGAGACAGAACTGGCTGGGTGGGCATGGGATCACAAGGTAAGCAGATGCTCAAAAGTGCAGCCTTCACCCCTGAGTTTCACTCATCTCCCAGCTGACCAAAGAATGGACACAGACTATGAGCAGGCAGTTTACACAAGAATATAAGAATGGGAAACAGACATTTGAAAAGGTGCTTAATCTCTCTTAACTTTGTAATACCATTAAAATTCCCCTTGACTCAGCAATTCTACTTGTGAAAATTTATCCTACAGAAATACACAAATACTCAAAGATACAGGAACAAGGATATTCCCGGTAGCCTGGGAAACTGGCAGTAAACCATATGACCATGATAAGGTCTGTTAAGTAAATTACAGTCCATCCATACAATGTTAAAGAGAATAAACTGACATGTAAACTGTCTGGGACATGTTAAACAAATAAGCATGAAACACAGCATGTATGGTATGTACTTACTTTGGTTAAGGAAGTGTGTACACAGAAAAGAACTCTGGGGAAATTTATGCTAACTCTAACAGTGGTTATCTCTGGGATGATAGGATGTTTATGGAGGGCTTTCATTTTTACAGTATTTCTGCAAATATATTTTATGATGACTACGTATTAATATTACATTTATAAGCAGAAAAACCATACCTACACTCCCTTCAACACCCACAATCAAATCTCCAGTTTCTTTTTGTCAGAGCCAATGGAAAATCAATCAGAGCAAAGGCTTTATCATCAGAGCTGAGCTGGACTTGACTAAAGGCTAGCTCCATGGCCTTTGGCAAGTGACAAAACCTAAGCTTCGGTTTCCGGACTGCTACACTGGGGTATCTCACAGGGATACCTGATGATTTGATGTGATAGGTTCTGTGAGGCACTTAGCATAATGCCTGGCATAGAGCAAGCACTCAATGCACTGCAGTCACCACTATTATTGTTAGGACAAGGCCTGTGGGAGAAGGGCCATCCTGCAGACAATGCCGGGAGATGGGAGAAGCCCTGTGCCCCATTTCTACGGTAGTACCAGCACTACCAGGAGATCTGAACTAGCCTCACAGATGTCTTGGCCTCTCTGCTTGTCTACATGGTCACCCAACCTGAGATTTTGCCTCCTTCCTCACATCCCAGGCACCCTTCATCTCCACTGCCCCCTCCTCACAGATGCTCTGTGGTACCATATAGCTCCTGGGGGAGGCGGAATATTCTTATTAGTGAGCAGCCGGGTCCTGGGGGAGAAGGTGTATACTGTGTGCTTCAGCAAGAACAAGGCTTAGCACCAGCCCAGACAATGTCACCCACAGAGGAGAAAGCACTTAATACATATAAGCTTGAATTTTTTTGTCTGTTTCTTTGTTTTTAGTAGAGACGAGGTATCGCTGTGTTGCCCAGGCTGGTCTCGAACTCCTGGGTTCAAGCGACCCTCCTGCCTTGGCCTCCCAAAGTGCTGAGATTACCAGCATGAGCCACCATGCCCAGCCTTGAATTATTTTTTTAATGGATGGGGAAGCTGGGGCATAGAGAAGGGATGTTCTCCCATAAAGTAGCTTATGTAGACATCAAGACAGAAGACATCAGAGAATCCTAGAGTCCTGATCCAGAACCTCTTGGCCATTGACTGTCCTGGATGTGTCAGAGAGTGTGGAATCCCAGACCAGGGAAGTAATTGACCCAAGGTCACAGAGCCTGTAGGAGAGCCCCAAACCATTTTCCAGCATCTGCCCATTACCCCTCTATCTTCTCTTTAGTATCTGAAGGACATTGCCCAAGAAGGGAACATGAACCTTTTAACATAATCAGGCTTGGGCTTGCAAACCCCCAAATTTATTTTAGTTCCTTCTGGATACATTCCCAACCAGAACCTTTACCTGCCTGCAGGGTCTTGTCTGGGATCTGCTCCTTGCCCATTCCCAAGAGGAGCAGAGGCAGGCCACAGGATCCATTCCCCCTTCCCAGGTACAAAGACAATGAAGTTGGAATCAGCTGTTACCTGGTGCCACAGCTAAGGTTAGATGTGAGCCCAGAGAGAACCCAGTATTAGCTTGCAAGCTCATCTGCGGGAGGGCAATGCCCTTGGAGAACCAGGAGACCCCTGGAAAGCAGAACAGTCATCCAGTGGAGAAATTAAAACTGTGCCAGCCTCCAATGGCAAGAGCACATTAACCTTCCCCAGGCTTCTCTGGTCCTTATCCCAGTGCACTAAATTACCAAGGAGGAAAACCAAAGTTTGAATTGATTTCGCTTTTGTTTTCTCACCTAATATTTACCAAGGGCCTACTGAGTACAGAATACTCAACTAGGAATGAAAAGATTCCCAAAGAAAGATCTGGACTTTGTCCACTAGAAGTGCACAATGTGGTCAGAAGACTGGAAACACTATAGAAAGGGTGAGCAGTGCTGTGGTGAAAAGAGCCCAGCCAGGCACCAGGAGGCCTGGTTTCTGAGTCCAGCTTTGCCAATGACTCTCCCAGTGTTTTCAGCAAGTGTCTCTATTAGGTTTGGTTTTCCTTCTCCTTAAAATGACAGAAGTGATGGCCGGGCGTGGTGGCTCATGCCTGTAATGCCAGCATTTTGGGAGGTCAAGGTGGGTGGATCACTCGAGGCCAACAGTTCGAGACCAGCCTGGCCAACATGGCAAAACCCCGTCTCTACTAAAAAATACAAAAATAAGCTGAGTGTGGTGGCGCATGCTGGTAATCCCAGCTACTTGGCATGAGAATTGCTTGAACCCAGGAGGCGGAGGTTGCAGTAAGCCAAGATTGCACCACTGCACTCCAACCTGGGTGACAGAGAGAGACTCTGTCTCAAAACAACAACAACAACAAAAAGAGAGGAGTAGACCAGAGCAGATCTTAATGTGGGGTCCCCCGGAGCAGTGGTTCTAAATCGTAAAGACCAAACACTTCCTCTTTACAGCAAATAGTGTCTAAAATGTCCCCTTTACTATTCTGAAGTGAAATTCAAAATACAGAAATTCTGAATATTATATCCCAATAATATAACCCATCCTACCTACACATGTAATTTAAAAATCAATATAATCTCCTATGGTAATAGAAAAGAGATATAAAAGGGAACTAATTTAGAATATATATTTTTTCAATACATGAATGAGAGGGTAAGGTTGTACCTTTCCCATTGGGAACCATGGCCCCAGAGGTTCTACAGTGGGCTCCAGGAAATCTAAAATTATGTGCCTTTTTTTCTTTTCTTTTCTTTTCTTTTTTTTTTTTTGAGACAGAGTTTTGCTCTTGTTGCCCAGGATGGAATGTAATGGCTCGATCTCGACTCACTGCAACCTTCGCCTCCCAGGTTCAAGTGATTCTCCTGCCTCAGCCTCCCAAGTAGCTGGGATTACAGGCATGGGCCACCACGCCTGGCTAATTTTGTATTTTTAGTAGAGATGGGGTTTCTCCGTGTTCGTTAGGCTGGTCTTGAACTCCCGGCCTCAGGTGATCCACCCGCCTCAGCCTCCCAAAGTGCTGGGATTACAGGCGTGAGCCACCACGCCCAGCCAAATTGTGTGCTTTCATCAGATTCTCAAGGGGGTCAGTTACCCAACTAAAGTTAAGGAGCCTTATCCTGGAGGGTGTCTGGGGGCTCTGTGAGTCTATGATTAGTGTCAAAATGAACCATGCAGACTCTGGAGCTGCAATGACTCCACTTCCCTCTGGCCTGTGGTTCTCTGATCAACCCCTTTCTTGTTTCTGAGGCCAAGTATCTTGCTAGGCAGGGCCATTATCGACCTAGTACTTGGTGCAATGAATGCAAAGGACCTCTCCTCCAGCATGGCTGATTCTGGTTGCTAAGACTCTATCATCCAGGGCAGAGATGAAGCTTCACTCTTGCCAGAGGGACTATTGGCTCTGAAAGACCTCTAGTACAGGGGAAAAATAGATGACTAACACCTTCACCATGAGGAAAGAGTGGGTGGTGTGTCTACCCTTTGTCTAAACTATGCATTTTGTCCAGGGTCAGGAAAAGGTTAAGTCTTAGGATTAAATACAGGATATTTTTTTTCTTGCTGAGAACAGTGAGAGAAGACCGGGATAGGGATGGGGCAGAACTAGTGTTTTTGTTTTCACATTCAGTTCTCCTGAAGCGGTGTTTGGCTGAAATGGAACAACTTCTCAAAGAAACAGGGTTAGATTAAAAGCAGCCTGTTCCTCTGCCAAAGTGTGGAAGCTTTCTCTGCCAAGTGCATGCCCATTTTCTCTTTCCAGAGGAAACCACTGCTAATGTCTATTATCCTATCAAATATCTTCCATCTAGAAGCATTACATGTTTCCATAATAAACAGGGCATACAGTGCTCGCTTTGTCAGCACATACACTAAAATTGAAACAATACAGAGATTAGCATGGCCCCTGCGCGAGGATGACAATCAGGTTATCTTAAATAAATAAATAGAAAACAGGACATACACAAACACACACACACACACACACACACACACATATTCACAGGAATTGTCTGTCATTCACTGTATGTTTGAAGGAATTTTGAAACTGTCAAACTCATCGCAGGATTTCAGGAAACTTTCCCATTAGGACAAGCACCAGAGTGGTATCATCAGAGAATCTGGGAGTCTAAGCAGACAAAGAAGTAAAGCCAAAAGTATTTTTACCTATGTAGTTACAAAAAAGTTACAAACTGTTTACATACTGTTCTGCAACTTGTTTTGGCCTCAGGACACATTGTGGACAGTTTCCTGTCACTTCTGTGGAGCTAACCTCTTTTTTAAAAAATATATCAGTATTCTATCACATGGATTACAACATAAAATTGTTGAAGCAATTCTCCTTTGATGAACATTTGAGTTTTCCCAATCTCTTATTATTACAAATAGGGATGCAACGAGCATCTCTGTCCATTTACCTTTTTGCAGGATAAATTCCTGGTTCACAAAGTTTGCACATTTTACCTTTTGTCAGAAATTGAAGAGGGCCAGGTTTTCCAGGGTCCAAGTCAGGCAGAACAAATGCAGCAATGTGGAACAGACGGAAACTCCAGCTCTGTCATTTCCTCACTGTGTGTCACCAGAGTCACACCACCTCCTTTTTATCAGCTATAAAACAGGACTACTGCTGAACTCGTAGAGTTGGGGGAAAGAGTGAGATAACATATAGATTACCAACCCAGTGCTGCGACACACAGCTATTATTGTTATTACAACTGCTACTGCTGCTGCTAATTCTCCTCCCTCCTTTCAAAGTCCAGTTCAAGCTCTAACTCCTTTAAAAAGCGTTTCACATGATTTCAGTCTACCAGGCCCTCTTCTTCCAAGCTGGTACAGACGAGATGGTCTCTGTCACTCATCTGGCACTTGGCATGTTCTGCCTATTTTTTTCTCTCCATGAATGTCTTGTCAACCCCGCTAGATTAAGTTTCAGAAGGTCAAGGATCATTACCTAGGCTACCTTCATCCCCATGACCTGCCACACTGCCTTGCTCAGTCACTAAACATCAACAAAAATCACTGTCCCCAAGCCCTTTGCCAGAACTGCCTGAATGTCTGTCTGGTTTCTGCCTTCCCTCAGATGTCCTGCGGTTTGACAACACCTACAGCTTCATTCATGCCAAGAAGGTCAATTTCACTGTGGAGGTCCTGCTTCCAGACAAAGCCTCAGAAGAGAAGATGAAACAGCTGGGGGCAGGCACCCCGAAATAACACCTTCTCCTATAGCAGGCCTGGCCCCCTCAGTGTCTCCCTGTCAATTTCTACCCCTTGTAGCAGTCATTTTCGCACAACCCTGAAGCCCAAAGAAACTGGGCTGGAGGACAGACCTCAGGAGCTTTCATTTCAGTTAGGCAGAGGAAGAGCGACTGCAGTGGGTCTCCGTGTCTATCAAATACCTAAGGAGTCCCCAGGAGCTGGCTGGCCATCGTGATAGGATCTGTCTGTCCTGTAAACTGTGCCAACTTCACCTGTCCAGGGACAGCGAAGCTGGGGGTGGCGGGGGGCATGTACCACAGGGTGGCAGCAGGGAAAAAAATTAGAAAAGGGTGAAAGATTGGGACTTAACACTTCAGGGAAGTCAGCTGCCGGGGAGAAACTTGCTCCTAAATGAACACATAAGTTTAGATCGCAATGAGGAGTAGCAGGGTAGCTGGTTGCTAGAGTTACGGTGGGGATCAGAAACTCTTCCAAACATTTTAGCACTGAGGCTGGGGTAGCTTTTGGCTTTTCCCAGGTCTCAGGAGGTGGCCTGAGTCAGCACACATCTTCCCACTCGGTAGACAGGCTGGCCTCTCCCTCACTTTGAGACTTTGGCAACTCCTGGGCCACACGGCCTGCCTCTTTGATTACTAATGATTGTCAGTGACTCAGAGCTTCCTGGGACTTCGGGTACCCACCCGCTGTTCTCCATGCAAACAAAGCGCCAGGGAAATGACCCACAGGGATCGCAGCTGCAGGGAGGGCCAGGGAGGTTGGGGGTGGGAGTGAATGCTAAAAGCAGATCGTCCAGTGCCCTTTTCAGTGCTACCGGCCTCTCACCAAGCAGTCCTCCATGTGAGCAACCCCGAGACAAAAATGCTAAGTGGGATCAAGAGAGCAGCACTCGGAGAGGGTGTTTGCCAGTCTGAGTGTCCCGCGGTGCCCGCCAACCCGCTTCCTGACTGACCTGAGCAAGGTCTTACTAAGCAGTCCCATCTCTGTGGGAGGCATGCAACGCGTGCAGGGAGTTCAGGTGCCGGTCGGCGTAGCCAGGCCTGGAGGCCCCCCAGGCAGGAGGCCGCCCAAAGGCGGGGCCGGCGTCTCGCAGACTAGGGGCTGGGGGCGGCCACAGACGGCCTCGAAACCACAGCCCTTACCCCAATCCCACGAGCCCCGCCAACGAACCACAGGTGCTGGGCTTTAGAGAACATGGGAAGGCGGCCCCAGACCTGGCGGGAACGCCTTTCCCTCAGAGCCAGGCCCCGGCCCCGTCTGGGAAGCTCATCTTGCGAAGCTGAGGGAGCTCAGGGCAAAGGCCAGGCTAGCGCGGACCGGAAGGGGCCGAGGCTGCACGGGCCTCTGCCAGAACGCTCAGGACATCCCGGCCTGGGTTTACAACGCTGTTAGGAAAATTAACCAATGAATAAAGCAACGTTCAGTGCGCAGGGAGTGAAATTCAATGCCCACCGCTAGGCTCCTCGCTGCCTCTCACTCAAGAGGCCCAAACTCAGACGGCGTCAGGGACCCGGACCCAGCAGCCGTTTCACGCCAATAGATAGGGCGCATGCGCAGAAATCCTCCTCGGCTCTCTAGCGTGAGCTTTCCCAAGGGGCCACGCCCAGCTTGCCTTCTGATTGGTCCAGCTGGTGGGTTGTCTTCCGCCATCTTTGATCAGGGCACTAAGGATGCTCCCCACGGCCTTCACAGTGACGGCGGAGACCCTGCCCCGCCAGCTGCTCAGTACGTGCCGCGTAGCCCGTGCGAGCCAAGTGTGAGTCCGGGCGAGCGCCTGCGGAGCTAGCACTGGGCCCAGAATGAGAGGGAGGCGGAGGAGCAGCGATCACGTGGTTTTAGGGACTGTCTAATAATTCCACGCCAGCATTGCCGGTGTTTCAGGGGGTGGGAACCGCTGCGTTCCCCATCAACTTTTCTCCCACCCACCACCCTCCCCAACCTACAAGCCCAGCTCAGCTTGAGGTAACTGCTGACCGGACTGTCCTATACAGCCCTACAAGACAGAGGCGCCTAGGGCTGAAAGCGGGGGCCTCCGTAGGGAGCCAGCGGGGGCCTCAATAGTTACTCATTTTCTCTACCTTTGATGAAAATAAGAGCTAATTCTTAATAAGGCCTACCGGGTATCACGCAAAAACCCTGTGCTTACTATTACACTTTGGGTTGTTGCAAAGATTAAAGGAAATAAGCCGTGCAAAGCGCTTAAGAGCTTGGTATAAGTAAGTGCTCGTCAATGTTGGCTACTCTCATTTTTTTTGCAGACGTGGGAACTGGGGCTCAGGGAGGCTAACAGCCAGTAGGCGGCACAGCTAGGATTTGAACCCAGGATTGTCTCCAACGCCGCTCAATTATACCCGCCAAGGAGTCACAGAGACTTAGTGAAGTGCACACATTGCTCACCTGGGTGAACTGAGGTCCAGCGGGGGAAGGCTTCCTCCTGTTGTAATCACTAACCCCAACTCTGTCTCCCTTGCCCGATTCATTCATTCGTTAATTAATTCATCCAACATCCTGTCCCCAAGAAGCTCAGTCTGGGGACATACTGATCCAGTTAAATGCGAGTGCTTCCTAGTTATACATGGCGACTGCTGAGAAGGGACTCCAGAGTCCAGGCACCTACCTCCCAGGGGCTCACCGTTCACTCCTCTAGCCTCATTTAGAGCTCGCATTAAGAGCACGGGATCTGGATCCACACTGTTTGGATTCAAATCACAACTTCACCACTTAGCAGCTGTGTGTTCTGGGAAAATGACCCACCTTCTCTGTGCCTCCATTTTCTCACCTGTAAAACGGGCTCCCAGGCTGGTGGGAGGGTTTCAGGTGTAAGACATGGAGAGTCCTTTAGCGAACATGTAGACTGGCAATAAACTCAATAAATGGTGACTGTTATAATTAATCCTCGGAACCATCCTAGGGAGTGGACACTATTGTGTTCCCCATTTTATTTATTACATTAATTTTTTTTTTTTTTTTTTAGTAGAGACGAGGTCTCGCTATGTTGTCCAGGCTGTTCTCGAACCCTTGGGCTCAAGAGATCTTCCCGCCTCCGGCCTCCCAAAGTGCTGGGATCACAGGCGTGAGCCAACGGGCCCAGCCTGTGTCCCTCCCTCGTTTTTACAAATGAATAAAGAGATGCTGGATAAGCCCGAGGTCACAAGCTTTGCAGTGTAGCATCCCCCAACTTGATCCCCTGTCTCTTTGGCTCCAAAACCTACACTCAGTCCTGGGAGCGATTAGCGCCAACAGCTCAGAGAAAACGTGACGAAAACCAGTCTGTAAAACCCGAGCCTGGGAGAGGGGCTTCGGTGCGCGGGGGGAATTTGCAGACGCTCCCTGCTGGCGGAGATTTCCTGACCTGTCCTTCGGCGCGGGACTTTCGGCGGGTCCCGGCCGGGCAGACCCAAGTGCCGGCGGCGGAGACTGCAGTGGAGCCAGTACCGGCTGTAGTGGCCGGGGCCGTGGCGGGAGAGTCATGTCAGAGCCGCAGCCGCGGGGCGCAGAGCGCGATCTCTACCGGGACACGTGGGTGCGATACCTGGGTGAGCGCGGGGCGACGGGCGCGGCGACCCCACCACCACTGGGCTGGAGAAGCAGGGGTCGCCGGACGCCCGCCCGGGGCCTGGAGGAGGCGGGATGATCTTAGTTCTCATTCTGCTTTTGGGCCGGAGACTGGGCTCAGACAGGGCTAGGGACTTGCCCAAGGTCACACTACCCTGGTGGGTCGCCCAGGGCGGAAGCTCCCATGGGGTGAGCGGGCTGCCCGCTCTGGCATGCGCTCTGGCTGGCTGTGGAGTCGGGATCTCCACTCCCATTTCGGTCCTGACACGCACTGGCTCTGTCTGAACCTCAGTTTCCTCCTCGGCAAAAAAACAAAAACAAAACAAAAAACAAACGAGATACACACGAGGGCCTCTCTCATTGGGTGGTGGTTGCGAGGGTGGAATGGGATAAAGCGCAGAAAGCCCTGGCACTTGGCGAGCGTCTGGTCAGTGGCGCTGCCCTCGATCACTCTGCCCCTCTGGGTGCCTGTCACCTCATTAGTGCAGTTACTCCTGGGACCAAGACCAGGAAATCTAACCAATAAGCAATGGTAACAGTGACTCAGTGCTCAGTCCGCCCTCAGTGGCCCGAGTCCGAGGTGGGCATCATGGCACCAGTTTACATCTCGGAAAGGGAGGCTCAGAGAGGTCAAGTCACTTGCCTAAGGTCACCCAGGGACTGCTTAGCTGGCTAGGATGAGAACCAGCCTGCTCCAACGCCCCCTCGTGGAACAGTTGCGAGCCTAGGAATTAAATGTTCCCTCCCCCAGGCTATGCCAATGAGGTGGGCGAGGCTTTCCGCTCTCTTGTGCCAGCGGCGGTGGTGTGGCTGAGCTATGGCGTGGCCAGCTCCTACGTGCTGGCGGATGCCATTGACAAAGGCAAGAAGGCTGGAGAGGTGAGTGTTAGCCTATTTTCCAACCCCCAACCCTAGCTCTCTTCTTGTGTGGTTCAGTCCACAGCCTTGCATGTGATAAAGTCCCTGTGGGACACTCCAGTCCCTACAACCTTGCCTAGTGCAGTCCATAGACAGTCCTGTTTGTAGGACAGTGTACCCCTGCCCCCACACTCCCACTCCCCGAACTGGATGTGGCAGACTGTACCCCACTCCTGGGTGCGGACAAGTCCACTGGCCACTTGCCCCTCCCGGTCTAGCCTCGTGCCCCTTGTCGCAGGATTTTCTGCCTCTGCCCCAGCTGGATTAAGTGTCTCTGCGCCCACCAGGTGCCCAGCCCTGAAGCAGGCCGCAGCGCCAGGGTGACTGTGGCTGTGGTGGACACCTTTGTATGGCAGGCTCTAGCCTCTGTGGCCATTCCGGGCTTCACCATCAACCGCGTGTGTGCTGCCTCTCTCTATGTCCTGGGCACTGCCACCCGCTGGCCCCTGGCTGTCCGCAAGTGGACCACCACCGCGCTTGGGCTGTTGACCATCCCCATCATTATCCACCCCATTGACAGGTGGGTACCTTCTTGGCCTCAGGGATCATCCACTCTCCAGTGATGAGAGTGGATCATCCAGTCTCCAGGTAGAGCTAGACTCTGTGAAGTGTGGGGTATGCCCACTTTGCTGGAGCAATAGCAGGGACAAGGCTGGCACTTGGCTCCTGGGTTAGAAAGGACAGCCTGTACCCTTGTCATATGGTATGGCAGGCACTTTAGCAATAAAAGAAGAGGGGTGCGTTGAGGGTATGGGACACAGGACAAGTAAATTCCCAGAAAGAAAGTCTAGTGTTACAAAACAACCAGAGAGAAGCAGGAGCAGGTGCACCCTAGAGGGGATGCATTTTGGGAGGTATTGGTGACAGAAGCCTAACTCAAACTGAATATTTGAATAAAATGGAGTAAAAGTCCAGGGCTGTGTTGCATTCAGGCATGGCTAGATCTAGGTACCCAAATTATGTCATTAGGGGTCTGGGTCTCCCCATCCTGCTGCCTTTCTCCCCACCCCACCCTATTTCTTGCTGGCTTCACCTGCTTTCTCCTTGTGGGAGTAGAAATGGCCCTAGCAGCTCCCAAGTTCTATCCCACCAGCTTAGCCTCCCCCAGCAGAAGCTTTTAAACAGTAACAACAAAAATCCCAAGGAAGGGTGTCATTGGTCCATTCTGGACTGCATGCCCACCCTATGAGCCAGTTTCCCTTTGCTGATTGGCCAGGCTTGGGTCACGTGCTTGGTCTTAGAACTAGATATGGGCTCAACCCAACCAGACCAATGTAAGAGTGAGAGGAGCAGTCTTTCTCCAGGAGAAGATAGCTGACCCTGAGGCCCTGAGCAAGTCTTTTACCCAGTACCTCAGTTTCCTCCTGAATAAAGAAGAGGATGGCTTCTATTCTGGGAGTTTGATTCTAGCTTCCCCAGGTAGCCCAAGGTGGAAGGATCAGGATAAGGGTGGGTCTCTGGCTGGATGGCATTTGTATCCTGCATCTAAGCGCCCCTTTCCCTAACCCTGGCCTTCTGCCTTCTGTTCCCTCATGAACACCCTTGGTCACCTGCTCACCACCCTTCCACTCCCTACAGGTCGGTGGATTTCCTCCTGGACTCCAGCCTGCGCAAGCTCTACCCAACAGTGGGGAAGCCCAGCTCCTCCTGATCATACTCTGGTACCTGGCCTGTGCATCGGCCTCCTGCTTCATGTCAACCTCCTACTCCTGCCAGGGAATGTGGACACCTGGCTCCCTGGTGTCCAAAGACCCTGGCACCTGGGTGGGTTTGAGCTGGACAGAAGCTTAGAGACAAAGGCTTCAAGAAGCAGTGGCTGCAGGGAGTCACAGAAGGGCAGGACCTGAACGCTGTCTGCTTCCCTGGAATCCAAGATGCTGAGTGGAAGTGGACCCTGGGTGGGCCCGGCCCTGTCTTTTTCAGGAAAATTACATCCTCCCATGGAGGATGAGAGACTGAGGCTCAGGGAGGGCAAGGAATAGGCCCAAGATCACTTGGCAAGCTGGGCACCCAGGACCCCCAGGTGCTTGACAGAGTCACCCCATGGTGGTATGGCTGAACAAGGAGCGGCAGACAACTCAGGGAGAAACTCAGGAGTGCAGTACCAGGGACACCTCAGGACAGATTCTCTGGCCAGGCCCTTCCCTGACCCAATAAATCCTGAAGAGGTTGTTATGTCTTCATTTCTGTTTGGGAGGAGCAGGGATGTGGTGGTGGGGAGGAGGGATGGGTAGCAGTCTCCCCGCCCATTAGTGCTTCCCTGCAGGTGCCTGGCATCCCACGTTGGTGCTGCCAGCCTCCTTTGGGGTAGGCATTACCCTTTACTTACTTACTTTTAATAGAGATGGGGGTCTCCCTATGTTGCCCAGGCTGGCCTTGAATGCCTGGGCTCAAGCAATCCTCCCACCTCAGCATCCCAAACTGCTGGGATTATAGGAATGAGCCACTGCACTCAGCCTGGCATTGCCCTCTTTTTCTAGCCTCCTAAAGCACCAACCCCTCTGGGAGGGGAGCCTGTTGGGCAGATACCACCTGAGCCTGAAGGTGGCCAAGATGGTGGTGTCAGCCCCATATGAGGGTCACATGAGACCTCCTCATGAGGGGACTCGGCAGCCTGGAGAAGGAAGTGACCAGGGGGCTTCTTACACTCAGAATCAGGGAATGGCCTGTTTTCCTTGTGGCTTCCCCTGAGCTGCTGGGCTCGAGAGTGCTAGAGGGGGCCATTCCTCTGATCCTGGGCCATCCCCCTCAACAGCTCAGAGAGGTAGAGAGGTGGGAGCACAGGGCTGAAGCAGACCTGGGCCCCTCTCAGCCCTGCCCCAAGCACCAAATCAGCTCCCACCAAGACCCTGGCCCCATCCCTTGCAGCCCAGGTGCAGTCAGGTAGGCTGACCCTGTCCTGGTGGGACTCACCTGCACCTGGGCTGGGACTTAAAGGGGCTGCAGGGCTGGGTAGGGGTGCTGCCAGCAAGACAGGATGGGGGCTCCGGGGTGGTGGCCCCTGCTGCTCTGGGGGTATCCATGGCTACAGGATGAGTCTGATGTGGGCTGAGCCTTTCTCTGCTACTCTTATTGTCCCACACTGGCAAGGTCCCCTTCCCAAGCCCCTATGGCCTCTGCCCAGTCACCTGTCACTCCCTCCCAGCTCCCTTAAAGGCTTTAAGCCCCGCCTTGTTCTCTAGCCCCCGACCCCACCCCCCATTCCCTGTCTGAGCTGGCACTCACATCCTTCTCCAGCCCAGCATTTTCCCAGCTCATCTTCTCCCCCGGCAGTCACAGCCCCATGCGGGGTACATTCACACCTGCATCCCTGTGACATCTCCTGGCATCTACCACCAATTCCTTGCTCACTCACTCTCCACTTTCCACTCTGCAGGCTCTCCCTCAAGCTGGGATCTGTGCAGGCCACATATAGGCTTTGTGCTCATGGGCCTAAGCGCCCAGCCTTGTCCTTCTCCCCATCACCTGCCCTCCTGTGCCTCTATGCCTTTCCTCACAACACACTGTTCCTCAGCTGCAAATCCTTTTCCTCTTGGCCAGCTATGAGCACCCTTCAGAACCAGCTCCAGTGCCCCTTCTGTTGTTGCCCCTTACTATGCCTTACTGTGGGCCACCTCTGCCCTTGACTGCCCCGTTGGTGGTAACTTGTGAGGAAATACCGGGGTGCAAGTTTGCAGATGCCTGGCACATAGTAGGTGCTCACAGAAGGGGCTTTGAGGCACTCCCAGGCCAGGCTGATAGGGATGAGGTCGGTGGACATCCTGTCTGTAGGGGGAAACACCACCATCTCCACAACCCCCCAACATTTTACCCTGCTCCATTTATTATTATTATTATCATTTTGAGACTGAGTCTCGCTCTGTCACCCAGGCTGGAGTGCAGTGGCACAAACTTGTCTTACTGCAACCTCTGCCTCCCGGGTTCAAGCAGTTCTCCTGCCTCAGTGTCCCAAGTAGCTGGGACTAGAGGTGCATGCCACCATGTCCAGCTAATTTTTGTATTTTTAGTAGAGACGGGGTTTCACCATGTTGGCCAGGCTGGTCTTAAATTCCTGACCTCAACTGATCTGCCCACCTTAGCCTCCCAAAATGCGGGGATTGCAAGCGTGAGTCACTGTGCCCAGCTCCCTGCTCCATTCTGGAGATGCAGGGAATTAATTGAAGGTGGGGGATGCTGGGGGAGGTTTTTGGGCACCCTCTGCTGGCCATGTTCTCGCTGAGTCTGGTTCTCCGCCTGAGCTAGCCTGGGCTGGATTGCCAGGAGACAGCCTCCTGCAGGACTGTAATCAGACAGATGTCCTCCTGGCAGTGAGGAAGGAGCCCCAGGTGGATGCTTGCCACCTGTGCCTTGGCACCTGCCTGCCCTCCCCAGTCCCTGCCATACCTGGCTATGAGGTCTTCACTGCCCCATTCAAAGCTTATGGCTTCATCCAACTGGTGAGGGGGCTGTTGGAGGCTCACGAGGACAAGGCTGCCAAGAGCCAGGGAGTACCCGGGAGATTCGGGGGAGAAGAGCTGGGGTGTCTGGGCTGGAAAGAAGGGTAGAATCAGATCATACTGATTTGCAAGTCACAGCCTCTCCGAGTGTGAGTTTTTCTCTCAAAGATGCAGAGCCCTGTATCTCTGCAGAATTCAGTAGCTAAGGATTTGATGCAGATTTGCCATTTAGCATCTGTGTGTTTGTACGTGCCCTTTACGTGCATTTGTTTCTTGCATCCTCAACAGCCCCGTGAGGAGATAAAACCATCATTCCCATATTCCACATGAAGACACTGAGGCTCACAGAAGGGAAGACCCCACTGTCTACCACCAGATGCAACTCAGCACATCATTCTTCAAAGCAGAATTGGCTTTTTTTTTCCTTGAGACAGGGTCTCGCTCTGTTGCCCAGGCTGGAGTGCAGCGGTGCAATTATGGCTTACTGTAGTCTTTACCTCTCAGGCTCAAGTGATTCTCACATCTCAGCCTCCCAAGTAGCTGGGACCACAGGCGTGTGCCTGGATAATTTTTTGATTTTTTTTTTTTTTTTTTTTTTTTTGCAGAGACTAGATCTCGCTATGTTGCCTAGGCTGGTCTCCAGCTCCTGGGCTCAAGCGATCCTCCCACCTCGGCCTTCCAAAGTGCTGGGATTACAGGTGTGAGCCACCGAGCCCTGCCAGAATAGGCATTTAAGCAAGACAGGGACCTCGAATGAGGCCTAGCAGGAAATTGAGGCCCAGACAGGGCAAGTGACTTCAAGACCACCCAGTGAGGTGGGGGCCCAAGCTGGGAGTAGACCTTTCCTGCCTTTTCCCACCATCCTAAGGAGCAAGTATCCTCGCAGATCTCAGGAAAGATAGTGGAATTATTTGCTGACCTGGTCTATGCACCACCACCCAGTTCAGAGCAGCCCTGCAGTGCTGCCTCCCGCCATTGGGTCAGCAGTGTGGTCAAGGCGTGAGCAATGCCTAGCACCCCTAAGCCTGTCTAGGGCCCTGCCACCTGGAGGTCTGCAGGAAGAGGGAATGGTAGGTTGGATGGGGGCTGCCCCTCCAGAAAGGGGCCACCAGGCGCTGACCTCCTGGCCCCCACTTGGTGTGAGCCTGGGGCAGGGCTGGAAATGCTCACCTGGGGGTTGGAATTTGGAATTCCTGGCCTTTTCCCTCCTGTTCTTCCTCCTCATGGGCTGCCCTGGGGGACTTGGCATGGGCCTTTAGTGTTTGTTTTCTGGGCCCCCTCACATGCCAGAGTTGCAATGTTCCCCGCCCCCCCCTTATTTCCCTGCCAGCCCAGGAGCTCCCATCTCACCTCCCACCTCCTTGGTCACTGACTCTCTGGCTGCGTTTGGAAATCTGGACTTCAGCATGA
Source organism: Homo sapiens (assembly GCF_000001405.40). Classification (NCBI taxonomy): domain Eukaryota; kingdom Metazoa; phylum Chordata; class Mammalia; order Primates; family Hominidae; genus Homo; species Homo sapiens. The sequence continues at coordinate 30,432,730 of NC_000022.11, forward strand.
GACTTTGGCCTGGTTCTTTGCCTCCCACAGGTGGGGGACATTGGCTGGGCTGAAGTAATGTCCCAAGAGGAAGGTCTTCTAGCTCAGGGACTCCTGTGCCTCCAGTTCTGGGCCAGGTTACCCCTGGAGAAATAAGGAAGTGAGGGAGGACCAGTAACAGAGTGTGAGGGCACTGGGCTTCTGGCCACCTGGCCCTAGCTTTTCCTGCTTCTCCTCTTGCTGTGTGGCCTCAGGCAAACCCTTCAGCATCTCTGGGTCTCGTGTCTTCCCCATCTTGGTTTCATTCCACCTCAGGGTGGGGCCATACTGGAGGATCCAGACCCCACCAACACCAGCACCATTTTCCTGGGCTCTGAGCTCCACATGGAGTTTGCTGTGGTTGGCAGCTCCCATTAGCCTTTACAGGTATATGTGGACGAGTGTGTGATCAGCCCCAGCCAGGATATGGAAGTGGCCCCTGCACACTACAGCCTTGTCAGGAATCATGGGTACTGAACCTGGAGGAGGAGGATAGGGTAGGATGGGTACAATTCAGTGGGTGATATCTCTGGGGAGGCTGGGACAGGGGCTGAGAGCCTTCCAGGGCTGGAAGGCACGGATGCCCAGATAGTGCTCCCTGGGCGTTCTTGAGTAGTCCTTTCTAGGCCAGGGGAGCAAGAATGCTTTACTGGCCCTTTCACCTCTGGAGCCTCTGTTTGCCCTTCTGTGAAATGGGGATAGTGCCAGAATCTTCAAAGCCTGCTGTGTAGACTGAATGGGGTGACGCTTAGCTCAGTGCTTGGCATGCAGAATTCTCAACAAATGATGGTGTATGGTGGTGTTGGGGCTAGGACCAGATCCCAGTTCAGGGGTCTGACCCTGATGACCTTCCAACCTGTGCCTTCCAGGTGCCTGGTGAACGGCAAGAACTTCCACTCCCACTTCGTGCCCCAAGAGGTCCCCAAGAGACTGGAGCTCTCCTTCCAGGCCTTCAGCTTTACTGGTACTCCTGCTGATGTGAGTGGAAACAGATAACCCCCTCCCCACTCTGCCACCCCGTAGGAACAGAGACCCAAGCTGAGGAATCTTTGGAAGTTACGGGGTGCACCACAAGCTGTTGCTCTGGAATCTAAAGGTCCCATCTGATGCTACCAAGAAGGCCTGTTCCTTCCACAGGGGCACTCATGGTGAGTCATGTTCACCAAAGGTGTACTGCATGCCTTACCCTGTAACTGGCATTTGAGGTACATGACCTCACTTAATTGTGTGGGAGGTGAGGAAACTGAGGCTCAAAATAGCTCAGATTGAATTTCTGCAATAGTTCCCCATGCTTGGCTGGACCACAAGCCCAACTGCTTTGGCCTAGAGTGGGCAGTGTGAGGTATACTGGGAATGGAGGCTTTGGACTGTGACCTAGACCCAGGTTCAAATCCCAGCTCCAGCTCTTGCTGGCTGTGACATCATGGGCAAGTCACTGACCTTTTGTTAGCCTCTGTTTCTTTGCTTGTTAAATGCAGGTCTGGTCCATGCCACCCCTAGCTCCCATCTCTGGTGCACTGACCACCTCCATCCCTCACCTCTAGGTAAGAACTTCTGGATGCCTCCCTGGGAGTATGAGTGACAGTTGTGAGATTACCTGCCTGGCCCCCTGATTACCCTATCAAAGGTCCTTGGCAGGTAGGAGGCCCCTGTTTTGGGTGTGGAGGGTGGAGGTAGGCTCTGAGGCAAGGGAGGCAGCTGGCCCGGGGAATCAGTCACAGCCTTGCATGAACAGGCTTATAGAAGACATCATCTTGCTACTAAAGGCCTCTGAGGAAACTGACACTGGCCTGGACCACAAAGACCCACTCAAGGTGCCCATTGATCAGAACCAAGGAGGGTCCTGGCTTCTGGATCCTGTCTGGAGAGGCTTCTACTGTGTGGGACCTTGGGCAAATCCTTTCCCTTTCTGGGCCTTGGTTTCCCCAAGTGCAAAATGAGAGCATTAGATTGGCCTGCCACTTTTGAGCCTCTCATGTAATCTTTATTAAACAGATATCTGGAGACCCCTTCACCTCCACCCACATAACCCTTGATATATGCCCTTCTGAGAGTTTCATAGAGGAGAGAGAAGGCTTGTAGTCACTCACACCATAGTATAAACAACATGTTATCTTTTCTGTCCTTGGAAAAAAAATAGCTTCATATTCTCTCAACTTTCAGTATCAGTAAACAAATAGTAGAAGGTCAGAAGTTTATAGCTGTGTGTGTTGGGGGTGTGAGGGGATGTTGTGTTGTGGCTTAAAACTGTCTTTGATGTCTTTGGCTTCCAGATTCCAATCAGGCCTCTGAGAAGGCTTCCCATCAGGCCCCTGAGAAGGCTTCCAATCAGGTGACAGAGAAGGCTGACTTGTCCTCTGAACTGAGTCAGGCTTCTGACTCTAGGGGGCCTGGAGACGAGCAAGGGAGCCCTCTCCTGTAGCCTGGGCTCTTCTCCAGGTCCCCTTCACAGTGAGAGACACTGGAGCTCTGCATCCAGTGGTCTTTGGCAGTCCCTGTAGAACCAGGCTCTGGCTTCCTCCTTCTCCCCTCCCTCTCCTCCCTGGGCCCCCATTTGTGGCCTGCCAGGGCAGAGCCTGAAACCTCAGGCAATCTGGCTGTAAGCTTGCTTACCTCATGACCTTGGAAGCCACTTACCCCTTTGAGCCTCCTTATCCAGAACAGTAACTGCTGCCCACTGCATATTGTTAATACATGCTGCCTTTGTTGCCTGCCTGCCTGCCAAAGGAGGGGCCAGGGCTTCCATTTTTCTGTTTAATCCTCCCAAGAATCCTCCCAATAATCCCATGCAGTAGACACAATCAGGTCCCATTCTATAGATGGGGAAACTGAGGCTTGAGGTCACATAGGCGTCGTTCAAGGCTGGTATACCTGCACCCTCTCCCATGTGAACAACATGGTTCTGGGTAATGGGGGCTGTCATCCAGTCTCCTCCCTGCCCCTGCTGGTGCACTTCCTGCCTCTGCTGGTGCACTTTCTGCCCCTACTGGTATATTTGCTGCCTCTGCTGGGGCGCTTCCTGCCTCGGCTGGTGTATCTCCTGCCCCTGCTGGTGCACTTTCTGCCCCCGCTGATGCACTTCCTGCCTCTGCTGGTGCACTTCCTGGCTCTGCTGGCGCACTTCCTGCCTCTGCTGGTGCACTTCCTGGCTCTGCTGGCGCACTTCCTGCCCCTGCTGGTGTATTTCCTGCCCCTGCTGGTGTACTTCCTTCCCCTGCTGGTGCACTTCCTGCCTCTGCTGGCGCACTTCTTGCCTCTCCAGGCCCTACCTAGCCTCTCCCTCTTATATATGGAAGTCTTCCCAGTTCACTGACACTGGTAACAGGGACTCTGCTCTTGGTGTTGCTGTCTGCCCTGGGGATGGGCATCTGTGTCTTCCTTTACTACTGCTGGCTCAGGACCCAGAGCTTTGAAGCATGTCCAGATGCAGGTCCGGGCACCAGAGTCTAAGGAGCCCCTACACCCACCAGGATTTTCCAATAAAGAGATGTTCACCAATGAGTTTAGCTCTCTGGTTTTCCTGAGGAAGGGCTGGGAACATGAGGTCCCCAGAACAGGGGCCACTGTTGGGGATACTGTCTTAGGCATGGCAGGACTCAGACAGGGGTGGGGAGGGGTGGAAAGAAGTGCGTTTTTCCTCCAAACCTGTGGCTGCCTTGGGTAGGCTGGGCTCAGAGCACTCCTGCCTTTGCCCCTTAATGTTTGAGAAGCCCAGCAGCCCCCTAGGGCGGAGGTTGAGCCTCTTGAGGATGACAGAGAGGAGGGCCCATTGGAGGTTTACTTTGCATATCCTCTTGCCTGTAGACCAGTAAGTGGCATGTCACAGCTGGCCAGTAGGGATGACAGCCAATTGTTAGCTTTTCAGGAATTTTATGAGCTCGTTGTTAGACACAGCCATTATTAAAAATTAAATAATGTAGGCTGGTGTGGTGGCTCATACCTGTGATTCTAACACTTTGGGAGGCCGAGGGAGGTGATCTGCTTGCGCCCGGGAGTTCGAGACCAGCCTGGGCAACACGGTGAAGCCCTGTCTCTACAAAAAATATAAAAATTAGCTGGATGTGGTGGTGCACGCCTGTAGTCCCAGCTACTCAGAAGGTTGAGATGGGAGGATCGCTTATGCCCAGGAGTTTGAGGCTGCAGTGAGCTGTAATCACACCACTGCATTCCAGCATGGGCGGCAGAGTGAGACCCTGTCTCAAAAAAAATAAATAAATAAACAATATAAAAAGATCAAATGATATAAACTTAGATTTAAATACATTTTACTAAAAACAAAGTAAATGCTCAAAACTTGTTGCCTCGTAATCATTTTACTATCTTAATAGTAAATATTTTACTATCTTACTATCTTACTATCCTTACTATCCTCACTATCCTTACTATCATCCTTACTATCCTTACTATACCTTACTATCATCTATGCTCTTGGGAGCTTATTTACATCTATTCTGTTTGGTGGAAAGACCACATTATCATGTGCTACTGTGTATCGCTTTATGTGGGAAGCTTGAAATAGGCCATAGTGGACACATTTATACCATGGAAATTGACAAGGCAGGGTCTCCATACCTAGAAAGTCCTGTAGTTTACCACCATTCTTCTGACCCTCTTGCTAACCCAGAGGGTAGGTAGTGTGAACCAAAAGTATCTGAGACAGGTCTCAATCAATTTAGAAAGTTTATTTTTCCAAGGTTAAGGATGCACCTGTGACAGCCTCACCCTGATGCCATGTGCCCAAGATGGTTGGGGCACAGCTTGGTTTTATACACTTTAGGGAGACATGAGACATCGATCAATGTGTGTAAAATGTACATGGGTTTGGTCTGGAAAGGCAGGACAACTTGAAGTGGGGTGGGGGCTTCCAGGTCATGGGTCGATAAGAGATAAAAGTTTGTGTTCTTTTGGATCCTTATCAGCCTTTCACTGAATAACAATTTACATGTGAGCCGGGGTGGCGGGTAGAGGAATAGTCACTTATGCTTTAGTCTGGCTCAGTGAAGCTGCATTTTTACATAAACAATAAGGGCAGAGGAAGCAATCAGATGCATTTGTCTCAGGTGAGCAGAGGGATGACTTTGAGTTCTGTCCTTTGTCCTGCACCTGTGAAGATCAGCTATTCATTTACATTGCCAGGGTGAAATCCAACAGAACTGTTTTAGGGTAAAAATCTTGAGGCCTACAAGGAATTTCCTTGTGGGCAAAATGTGCATGAGGTATGTAGCTTTTTAATCCTTGTAGCTATCTTATTTAGGAATAAAATGGGAGGCAAGTTTGCCTGATGCAGTTCCCAGCTTGTCTTTTCCCTTTGGCTTAATGATTTTGAGGTCCCCAGATTTATTTCCCTTTCATAGTAGATAAACTGCTCCCCATTCCAGACTTACATTCTAAGAATCAGAGAAGGCAAGTGACCTGGCAAAGGCCTCCCAGCATATATGGTCACAGGTAAAACTCAAGCCTGGTCTGTTATTCCCTCCCCAAAACTGCCTGGTAGGGAGAAGGGAAAGCCAGCCTCAGCTGTGACTGACTCCTGGCTATCTGGAGCTCTCCCTCCAGATTCCTTTCTACCTCTCTGGCTGTCACCCCAGTGCTAAGAGCCTGGGCTCAGGCCCTCCTCTCTCTACCCTGGCTGCTCCCGCTCATTCCTGTGGCTTCTGTCCCCAGTACTCTAGCACCACATCTCCTATCTGTCCCCTCTAGACATATATCATGGTAGCAGCCTCTAGCTTGTTCCTCTCCAAATGTTCCCTCTGGCCAACCACTTCTTACAATGTTCAGAACAGAGTCCAGACCCTCACAGTGGCTCTCAGGGCCCTTGGTGATCTGGATAACGCCCCTATCATACACACCCTTCTCACTGCCCCACCCCAAATCTTCATTTCAGCCATTCTGTCCTTTTTGGGTCCTTAGATCTGGTGTTTCTCCTGCCCAGGCTTTCTCATATACTGTTCCCTCCTATTGGGACACTCCCTTCCATGCCTTTCCCCCAGCCCGTCCTGCAGGTTCACCAGCCCTACCCTGATTACAGCTCCCTCCTCCCTCAGTTCCTGCTCCCCAACCCAAGGTGACCTCTGACCCCCTCTAACTGGCTTAGGAAGCTCCTCTTGTAACCGCCAAGTGGGTTATCAAGGCAGGGGAATTGCAGTGGAGAAAGAGTTTAATTTATGCAGAAATGGCTGAACAGGAGACCAGAGTTGTTTTTTGTTTGTTTGTTTTGGTTTTTCTTTTGAGATGAAGGCTTGCTCTGTCGCCCAGGCTGGAGTGCAGTGGCGTGATCTCGGCTCACTGCAACCTCCTCCTCCCAGGTTCAACCCATTCTCCTGTCTCAACCTCCTAAGTAGCTGGGACTACAGGCATGCGCCACCAGGTCTGGCTAATTTTTGTATTTTTAGTAGAAATGGGGTTTCACCATGTTGGCCAGGCTGGTCTTGAACTCCTGACCTCAGGTGATCCTTCTGCCTTGACCTCCCAAAGTGCTGGGATTACAAGCAGGAGCCACTGAGACTGGAGTTTTTTTATTATTCAAATTAGTCTCTTGGAGCATTTAGGGGCTAGGGTTTTTCAAAGGTAGTTTAAGGGAAGGGTGGCGGGGGTGGCTAGGCAATGGGGCCTGCTGCTGACTGGTTGGGGGTGCAATGATAGGGGTGTGGGAAATGATCCTGTATGCTGAGTCACTTCTGGGTGAGGCCACAGGAGCAGTTGGCAGGTCCAGGTGGAACCATAGGTGTCAGACATACAAAAAGCCTGAAAAGATACCTCAAAAAAGCCCGGGCGTGATGGCTCACACCTGTAATCCCAGCACTTTGGGAAGCCGAGGTGGGTGGATCACCTGAGGTCAGGAGTTTGAGACCAGCCTGGCCAACATGGTGAAACCTTTGTCTCTACTAAAAATACAAAAGCTAGCTGGGCGTGGTGATGGGCATCTGTAATCCCAGCTACTCAGGAGGCTGAGGCAGGAGAATTGCTTGAACCCAGGAGGCGGAGGTTGCAGTGAGCCGAGATCGTGCCATTGAACTCCAGCCTGAGCGACGAGAGAGAAACTCTGTCTCAAAAAAGAAAAAAAAAAAGATACCTCAAAAGGCCAATCTTCACGAAGGGCCAGGGGTCCCACAGGTGAGTGGAGCCCCAGCAGCCCCCTCAGCTCTGCGTGCCCATGTACTGGTCTTCTCCCTGGCTCTATACTCAGTGTTCAAGGGGTTGCAGTGAGACGGGGCTTGGGCCGCGGAGCTGCGCCTGGCTTTGCTGCTCCACAAGGGCACCGTGGCTGTCAGCCTGTCCCTGCAACTGCTGCAGAGCCACGTAGGGTTACAGGTGGTGGCTGGCTGTGGGATCCACTTCTTGTGCATGACACTTCTAGGCATCCGGCTGGGTGCGGCTCTGGCAGTCAGCAGGGCCTCTGCACCAGCTGGCCCAGTCTGTGCTAGAGGGCATGGTGGCTGGCACCTTCCTCTATACCACCTTTCTGGAAATCTTTCCAGGAGCTGGCGACTTCTGAGCAAAGGATCCTCAAGGTCATTCTGCTCCTAGAAGGGTGTGCCCTGCTCACTGGCCTGCTCTTCATCCATATCTAGGGGGCTTTGAAATAGAGGCCGCTGTTCTCCCTCCCTGCCCCAGTGTGTGGGGAAAAGGAAGGAATGGGAAGGGAGGTTCTGAGGACGAAAGCTTTCTCTAGGAGCTAAGGATGGAGCCTTTGGCACTATCTGACCCATGAGAGGGAAGTGGGCAGGCAAGAGAGACTGGTCTCAGCCCCAAGGAACGAGAGACGGCTGAGTCACTAGAGACATGATCAGGGACATTAGTGTTACTAGAAAGGGGTCCCGATCCAGACCCCAAGAGAGGGTTCTTGGCTCTTACACAAGAAATAATTCGAGGTGGGTCCATAAAGTGAAAGCAAGTTTATTAAGAAAGTAAAGGAAGGCCAGACGCGGTGGCTCATGCCTGTAATCCCAGCACTTTGGGAGGCCAAGGTGGGCAGATCAAAAGGTCAGGAGATCAAGACCAGACTGGCTGACACGGTGAAACCCTGCCTCTACTAAAAATACAAAAATTAGCCAGCTGTGGTGGCGCATACCTGTAATCCCAGCTGCTTGGGAGGCTGAGGCAGGAGAATCGCTTGAACCCGGGAGGCGGAGGTTGCAGTGAGCCAAGATTGTGCCACTGCGCTCCAGCCTGGGTGACAGAGTGAGACTCCGTCTCAAAAAAAAAAAAAAAGGAAGTAAAAGAATTAAAGAATACTCCATAGACAGAGCAGCAGCATGGGCTGCTTGACTGAGTATACTTACAGTTATTTCTTGATCATGTAACTGCCCAGCGGGTTCTCCTTGCCCACTGCCTAGACAGAGCCGATTGATCAAGACGGGAATTGCAATAGAGAAACAGTAATTCACACAGAGCCTGCTGTGTGGGAGACTGGAGTTTTATCATTACTCAAATCAGTCTCCCCGAGCATTCGGGGATCAGGATTTTTAAGGATAATTTGGTGAGTGGGGGGCCGCCAGTGAGTCAGGAGTGCTGATGGGTTGGGTCGGAGATGAAATCACAGGGAGTGGAAGCTGTCCTCTTGTGCTGAGTCAGTTCCCAGGTGGGAGCCACAAGATCAGATGAGCCAGTTTATTGATCTGTGTGGTGCCAGCTGATCCGTCAAGTGCAGGGTCTGCAAAATACCTCAAGCACCGATCTTAGGCTTTACAATAGCGATGTCACCCCCAGGAGCAATTTGGGGAGGGTCAGAATCTTGTAGCCTCCAGCTGCACGACTCCTAAACCACAATTTATAAACTTTTGGCTAATTTGTTAGTCCTACAAAGGCAGTCTAGTCTCCAGGCAAGAGGGAGGTTTGTTCTGGGAAAGGGCTGTTATCATCTTTGTTTTAAACTATAAACTATAAACTAAGTTCCTTCCAAAGTTAGTTCAGCCTGTGCCGAGGAATGAACAAGGACAACTTGGAGGTTAGAAGCAAGATGAGAACGGGCATGGTGGAGCGCCTGTAATCCCAGCATTAAGGGAGGCCGAGGTGGGCAGATCACTTGAGGTTGAGGTCAGCAGCTCGAGACCAGCCTGGCCAACATGATGAAACCCCGTCTCTACTAAAAATACAAAAATTAGCTGGGCATGATGGTGGGCACCTGTAATCCCAGCTACTTGGGAGTCTGAGGCAAAAGAATCAGTTGAACCCAGGAGGCAGAGGCTGCAGTTAGCCAAGATTGTGCGACTGTACTCCTGCCAGGGCGACAGAGCAAGAGTCGATCTCCAAAAAAAAAAAAAAAAAGCAAGATGTAGTTGGTTAGTTCAGATCTCTTTCACTGTTATAATTTTGCAATGGTAGTTTCAAGCATAAGCTGAGTGTGATGGCTCACGCCTGTAATCCCAACACTTTGGGAGGCCAAGGCAGGTGGATCACCTGAGGTCAGGAGTTTGAGACCAGCCAAGCCAACATGGAGAAACCCTGTCTCTATTATAAACACACAAAAAATTACCCAAGCACGGTGGTGTGTGCCTGTAATCCCAGCTACTCAGGAGGCTGAGGGAAGAGAATCACTTGAACCTGGGAGGCAGAGGTTGCAGTGAGCTGAGATCACGCCACTGCACCCCAGCCTGGGCAACAGAGAGGGACTCCATCTCCAACAAACAAACAAACAAACAAAAAACATATATTAAACAATTACTCATCAGTTTTGGAAAGAAGTGGGCAGTTCCCCTAACTGACGGTTCCTCCTCTTTTTAGACCATATAGGGTAATGTCCTGATGTTGCCATGGCATTTGTAAACTGTTGTGGTGCTGGTGGGAGTGTCTTTTAGCATGCTAATGTACTATAAGTAGCATATCATGAGCAACGAGGATGATCAGAGGTCACTTTCTTTGCCATCTTGGTTTTAGTGGTTTTCGGCTGGCTTCTTTACCACATCCGGTTTTGTGTTATGTTGGGTTTTTGGTTTTTTTTGTTTTTTTTTTTTTGAGACGGAGTCTTGCTCTGTCACCCAGGCTGGAGTGCAATGGTGTGATCTTGGCTCACTACAACCTCTGCCTCCCAGGTTCAAACAATTCTCCTGCCTCAGCCTCCTGAGTAGCTGGGATTACAGGCACATGCCACCATGTCCTGCTAATTTTGTATTTTTAGTAGAAACGGGGTTTCACTATGTTGGTCAGACTGTCTCGAACTCCTGACCTCAAGTGATCCACCTGCCTCGGCCTCCCAAAGTGCTGGGATTACAGGTGTGAGCCACCGCACCCAGCCACCACATCCTGTTTTATCAGCAAACTTTTTGTGACCTGTATCTTGTGCCAACCTTCTATCTCATCCTGTGACTAAGAATGCCTAACCTCCTGGGAATGCAGCCCAGTAGGTCTCAGCTTTATTTTACCCAGTCCCTACTCAAGATGGAGTCACTGTGGTTTGAAAGTCTCTGATGTTAGGATTGGGGAAGACGCTTGACTGCCAGAATCAGAGGTTGGACACTAAACATAGGGACAGGCTGACATGGGAGGCTGGAGGTGGGCACACGGCTGCTGTGGGATAGAGGGATAGAGAGGACATAAACCCAGAGTCAGTGTCCTGTTGGTTCTACCCCATTTCAGCACCTGTCACTTGGAGTGGACCCCTCGTACTTTTCTTAGCTCCTACTCTCGTATCTATCTCCCTCTTCCCTTCTCCCAGGGGACGAGTGCCAAATGGTCTCTCCCTGCCATTTTGATATCTTCTCTCCAGTCCTGCTCACTCTCTCTCTATATATATTATTTTTCATGAGAAGCAGTCTCGCTCTGTCACCCAGGCTGGAGTGCAGTGGTACGATCTCGGCTCACCGCAACTTCTGCCTCCTGGGTGCAAGCGATTCTTCTGCCTCAGCCTCCCGAGTAGCTGGGATTACAGGCGCCTGCCACCACGCCTGGCTAATTTTTGTATTTTTAGTAGAATTGGGGTTTCACCATGTTGGCCAGGCTGGTCTTGAACTCCTGACCTCGTGATCCGCCTGCTCCACCCTCCCAAAGTGCTGGGATTACAGGCGTGACTCGCCGCGCCCAGCCTTGCTCACTCTATTTTTAAAGTGCCAAACAAATCCCCTCCCTCTTTCTCAAAGCACAGTGATGTGCCACTGAGCCCTGCCCAGCACCTCAGTGGAGGGGGCCTGCTTGCTCTTTGTTTTGGTCCCAGATCCTGGGGTGGGAGAGAAATGTTTGCTGGGCCAGGGTTGGGAGAGGGTTGGAGAGCTGCAGCCACCTACCACTGCTGTACCCCAGGAATACGGCACATGGACATGGCACCCCCCTGCCCAGATGATAAACATGAGCTCCCAAAACATTCTTTTAAATAAATTAGAGGAGCGCAAGGGGGAAAGGGAATTCCTATTCCCAAAGGTTATTTTCGGGGAGGGAAGGCTGTGCATAGGGCCATATTCTTTAGAATCTGTTTTATTAACTGACCTGTTTTGGGACATGTTACCCAAATAAAAGGTGTTTCTAAACAAAACAAGACAAAAATAACAACAAAAGGCCAATCTTAGGTTCTAAAATAGTGATGTTACCTGCAGGAGTACTTGGGGAAGCTGCATATCTTCTGACCTCCAGAATAATGACTGGCTATCATTTATGTCTACACCTTAGGAGAATTCAGCCTTCTCTGTTCTCCTACCCTGGTGGTCTCTTATTAGCTTCGCAAAGGTGGTTGAGTTTTGGGGAAGGGCTATTATCATTTAAACTATAAACTGTCTCCCAAAGTTAGCTTGGCCTAAGCCCAGGAATAATTAGGGGCAGCTTGAAGGCCTGGGGCGAGATCAGGACTTGGCTAGATCATATCTCTTTCACTGCCATAATTTTCTCACTGTTATAATTTTTGCAAAAGTGGTTTCACTCTGGGCTCCCTCTAGGCCAACACTCCCCCCATTGCTGTAGTAGCTGCCTCCTCTGTGAGCATTTATCCTGGAGGCTGCACATCATCTGTGTGGCTTTCAGACGCCATTGGCCTCATGGTGAAGTGGGGTTAGCAACAGAGACTCCTCCCACCAGCTTGGGAGGGCTGAAGTGAGACATCCCAGGTTCCTGGCCCAGAATGGGCAGTCGCCCCCTCCCAGGCAGCCCAGCCCCTGCCTCTGCCCCAAACACCCAGGGGTAGTTGCTGAGTTTAGCAAATAACAGGGTGCTCAAATGTGAATTTCGGATAAACAGCAAAGGATGTTTTAGAAGTGTACCCCTAACATTGCATGGCACATACTTATACTAAACTGGGCATCCTGTATTTTACCTGGCAACCTTACTTGAAGGGGTATCCACAGAGCTGGAATACCTCCTTCAAACACTCTAGCCATGTACAACTGGGAAGCTCTTTCTCCAGGGAAAGCTTACCTCTTTCCTGGGCAGGGGACCAGAAGCAATTCTTTGGGGCTTTGAGTTCTGTGCTAAGTCATTCATATGGGTGGGGAAACAGGTACAGAGAGGTCAACTAGACAGGAGGTGGCAGATGGTGGTTGTGATGGGAAATCGCCATTCCCTGTGTAAGAGGATGGAGCGGACCTCAGCTGGGATGGGGCGGGGTCTTTTCCCACCCCCGGGTTTTGTGGCCTTTGTCCTAGTGCATGCTGGGAGTCGGGCCCCAAGTGGCCATCTTCACGCAATACTAGCAATAACCACAAGGGGGGAGCACCTCCCAACGTGCCCATGTTGGCCGATTCAAACTGATTATTGATAAACTCTTAGTGAATTGCTCATAGTGGGCACCGGGTCCTGTTCTAAGCAATTCATGCGATGTGACTCATTTAATCTTAACAACCTTCAACAGAAATGGGGTACAAAAAATAATAATAATCTTCATAACCTCATCTTGAGATGGATGTTGTTATTAGGTCTCTGTTTCCTAGAGTTAAAATCACTGACCCAAGCTCACGCAGTCCCCTAACTCCCGATACCTCCCCCAGCCTAGGACTGCTTTTGCCCACTGCCCTTCCAGCCTATGACCCTCTACACAGTCAGGGGATGATTCATAGGCTGTGTGACCTTGGGCAAGTTACCTAATGTTCTGAGCATTGGTTTTCTCTCTGCACAGTTCTCTGTAATGACCTGAAGCTGTTGTGAGGATTACAGACAAAATGATTCACAAAGCATCCAGGCAGAGTGGGGCTCACAGCAAGAGCTCCACAAATACTGGCCATTATTTTTGTGGCAAGAGACATCCACTTCAAGGGCAAATGATTGAATCGTTCCATCTGTGTCTAACCCAGATATAAAAAATGCCAATTACATGGTTCAAGGATTCCACTTTTAAGAATTTATTCAGAGGAACTAATTGGACAATTGTCCAGAGATGTGCATCTGAGGATTGTTGGGGTCTTATTTGTGTGAGCTAAAAGCTTGGGAATTCCTTAATTGCCCATTGCATAAAGAAACATTCTGATCTGATCACACTGGTGGCTGAATCTCTCCAGGTCCCTCCTCTGTCCCAATACTTTTCATGGCTTATGACGGTCCCCAGGATCCAGTCTGAACACATCAGTTTGGCATTCAAAATCCCCTGGCCTCATCTCTCACCACACACATCCCTGCACCCATGCTATTGCCTCCCCTGAATCCTCGTCATTCTCTGGATGTGCCCTGCCCACCCTGCCTCCCTGCCTTTGCTCAGGCCATGTCATCTGCCAGCAATGCCCGCCCCCCATCCCATTTCCCTTTTTTCCCAGCCTTCAAGGTCCAGCTCTAACGGTACCCGCTCCATGAACCCTGCTTGGCTCCCTCCCCAAGACGGAATCATCTTGCCCTACAGTCCCCTCCATCACGCGCTCAGCCCTCCCCTTGGACACCCACAGAGCACGTGGATGGAGCTCTTTCTGTGTGCCATGCACTGAGCTAAGCATCGCATTATGTAACCTCCATCGCATTATGTAGCCTCATGAGACAGGTGCCATCATTATCACCTTCCTGCAGATGAGAAAATGAAGTCCACTGTGCAGTGACCCTTCATCAGCATTAACTCTGTGAACCCAAAAGTATCTGAAACAGGTCTCAATCAATTTAGAGGGTTTATTTTGCCAAGGTTAAGGATGTGGCCATGACACAGCCTCAGGAGGTCCTGACAACATGTGCCCAAGATGGTTGGGGTACAGGTTGCTTTTATACCATTTGGGAGGACATAAGACATCAATCAATACATGTAAGATTTACATTGGTTTGATGTGGAAGGATGGGGCAACTCCAAGCAGGGGCTTCCAGGTAATAGGTAGATTTAAAAATTTTCTGATTGGCAATTGGTTGAAAGAATTATCAATAGAAAGAAATTATCAATAGAAAGTCTGGGTTAGCGGGAGGTGGAGGTTGCAGTGAGCTGAGATTGCGCCATTGCACTCCAGCCTGGGTGACAACAGCGAGACTTTGTCTCAAAAAAAATAAAAGAAAGTCTGGGTTAGGATAAGGGTCATGGAGCCCAAGGGTTTTTTGTTTTTGTCTGTTTTTGTTTTTTTGAGACAAAGTCTCCCTCTGTCACCCAGGCTGGAGTGCAGTGGTGCGATCTTGGCTCACTTCAACCTCTGCCTCCCGGGTTCAAGCTATTCTCCTGCCTCAGCCTCCTGAGTAGCTGGGATTACAGGTGCCCGCCATCAGGCCTGGCTAATTTTTGTATTTTTAGTAGAAATAGGGTTTTTCCATGTTGGCCAGGCTGGTCTTGAACTCCTGACTTCAGGTAATCCACCCGCCTCGGCCTCCCAAAATGCTGGGATTACAGGCGTGAGCCACCGCGCTGGGCCAAGACCAAGGTTTTATCATGGACTTAGGGTCTGTGTCGATGTTCATGTTGGTCAGCTTTTCCTGAATTCCGAAAGGGAGGAGGGTATCATGACGCACGTCCGACCCCACTCCCTTCCCATCATGGCCTAAACTACTCTTTCAGGTAAACTTTGCAATGCCCCTGGCCGAGAGGAAGGGTCCATTCAGATGTTTGGTGGGGGATCTTAGAATTTTATTTTTGGTTTACAACTCTTACTAGTGTTAGTAAATCCATCGTGAGTGAGGAGGACTTTGGAGCCTTCCTTAAAATCAGGGGGCATTGCAGATAGGTGTGTGTGTTTGGCAGGGCTGGGGTGGGTGTCGCTGGAAGAGGACTGTGGAAGTGTTTGGCTTGGGCCCAGCTCAGCCATGCCCTAGGCTTATCTGTGGGCTCCAGGTTCCTTCCCCAGCCTCTTCTGGGCCTATTTAAGGAGGCTTTGGGGTGGCGGGCAATGTTTTTTTTTTTTTTCATGATGGCTGCCCCCAAGGGTCTTCTGCTGGTTGCTCTAGTCTTGCTACTTGGTAAGTTCTGGGCATAGGACTCCCTTGGGAGAGGGGGTGGTGGAGCAAGGGCCTTCCTCCTGCCCTCTCTGCCCATGACCAAGCCTCCCTTGGCCAGCTGTGCACCTGGTAAGGCCGCTCCGGGATAACCACCACCCCAGGCCTGGGCTGCAGGTCTTGGCATCCTGAAGATACAAGCAAGAGGAGACTTCTTTCCTCATAGCCTGTGAGTCACTCTGCTGGGTGCCCTCTGACAGCCCTACCCCCCCAATGCCTCTGACCCCTGGGGTCCCTTGCTCCTTCCCCCAATGAGATCTGAAGCCACCAGGATCCCAGGTCACCCATTTCTCTCCCTTGACCGTCACAGTGCATCTGGGGAGCCTTTCAGTCTTGTCGCAGGTTGAGCAGGGGCCTCCTGGGGTCCAGGGCAGTCCTGCTTCCTGAGGCTAGGGCTCCCCAGCCAGGCCAAACCCCAGGTGCAGGGCTCACTCCTATCCTGCTCTCTTGGCCTCCTGAGCAGAGCTTGGCATGCAGTAGATGCTCAGTAAACACTAAACAAATGCCTTACATTCTCCTAAAAAAAAAAAAAAAAAAAGCCCAGACCAGGAGTGGTGGCTCACACATGTAATCCTAGCACTGGGAGGCCAAGGTAGGAGGATTGCTTGAGGTCAGGAATTTGAGACCAGCCTGGGCAATGTAACAATACCTCATCTCTACCAAAAAAAAAAAAGAAAGAAAGAAAGAAAGAAAAAAAACCCAGGCATGGTGATGTGTACCTGTGGTCTCAGCCACTCAGGAGGCTGAGAGGGGAGAATCACTTGAGCCCAAGAGCTCAAGGTTGCAGTGAGCTATGATCGCACCACTGCACTCCAGCCTGGGCCACAAAGCAAAGCCCTGTCTCTAAAAAACAAACAAACAAACCTCCAAAACTTCTTTCCCTTCCTTGGTCTGCCCTAGGCCCTCTGAGTATAGATAACCCCTCTTAGAAGCAGCATGGCAAGGCGGTCAGGAGCCCAAATGGGAAAAAGAATTAACTGGAGACCACGTAGGGGGTGAGTCCTCTTACACACAGGCCAGTTACTCACACAGACAAAAATTAGTTACTGGCAGGGAGGGGTAAAGGCCTACTTAGCTTGCATTTTCGTACCATTTGGTATGCCATCACTTGCGAGTTTGAGTGTGAGTTCTGTAGCTCATGGCTGCATATAATCACGGGCAGATGACAGCAAGACTTCCCAGACTCACTTTCCACATCTGTAAAATTGAGGTGGTTATGAGAAAACAAAACAAACAAAAAGAAATGAAAATCCTGAACTCCAGAGGGTCACCAATACTAAGGCATATGCTAAGTTAGTGTTTTATAAAATAGGATTCTATGTGTCATTCTATAATAGAATGACATTATACAATAACTTAATCAAGTACTTTTTCATGCATAAAAGGTATTTTGTGAAAGTTCACAGCTCCACAGAACCCTACTTGTCTGGTCAAGCTGTAACTTAGCCAGTACCTGATTACAGAAGCTCCCCAAGGGTTCCAGTCTGTCCGTTCTTTTTTCTTTTCTTTTCTTTTCTTTTCTTTTTTTTTTTTTTGAGATGGAGTCTTGCTCTGTCGCCCAGGCTGGAGTGCAGTGGCGCGATCTCAGCTCACTGCAACCTCCGCCTCCCAGTTTCAAGTGATTCTCCTGTCTCAACCTCCCGAGTAGCTGGGACTACAGGCTTGCACCACCATGCCCAACTAATTTTTGTATTTTTAGTAGAGATGGGGTTTCACCATGTTGGCCAGGCTTGTCTCGAACTCCTGGCCTCAGGTGATCCACCTGCCTTGGCCTCCCAAAGTGTTGGGATTACAGATGTGAGCCACCACGCCTGGCCCCAATCTGTCCCTGTTGTAAATCAGCGCTGTGGTGAGGAAATACTCCTGGATCAGGGAGAATCAGGAGAATTGTCTCTCCTCAGAGGGCCTGTTCTGGACTGGGTGTGATAGTCACAGGCTGGCCTGGCTTCCTGATGTCAGTTGCTCTCTGTGGTCCCTCCCCGCTACTGCTGTCCAGGTTCACGGACACTTGTTCTTGGTTTTGTCCCACTGCCCTTTCTGGTCTCAGCCACACGCTTGCTTTTCTAGGCCCTCAGTTGATGGGAAATAAATGGGCACGATGTAGTTCAACATGGGATGGCTATGTTGAGGTAGCGGGGGCATGGAGTCCAGGACGAGCCCTCTCACCCAGCTCTTCCACGGCCCCTACTTCTGGGTTTACCTCATCTGCTGGACGAGGGTCTGGAGCTGGACGCGATCCTTTGAGCCTGGCTGGAAATCTTATTTTTATTTTTTTTGAGACGGAATCTCTCTCTGTCCCCCAGGCTGGAGTATAGTGGCATGATCTTGGCTCACTACAACCTCCACTTCCCAGGTTCAAACAATTCTGCCTCAGCCTCCCCAGTAGCTGGGATTACAAGTGCGTGCCACCTTGCCCAACTAATTTGTATATTTTTAGTAGAGACAGTGTTTCACCATATTGGCCAGGCTAGTCTCGAACTCCTGACCTCAAGTGATCTACCTGCCTCTGCCTTCCAAAGTGCTGGGATTACAGGCATGAGCTCCCGTGTCTGGCTGGAAATCCTATTTTTACAACATCTCCTCATACAAGTAAGACCTCTCCGTTTCAAGTTATGGGACCCTGGGCAAATTCCTTCAGCTGAAGGAATTTCATGGTCCTGAAAGGCATGCTGTGTGAGCCCTGCTGGCTCAAGGCCTGGGTTCTGGAAGCTGGGTAATAGGGGGAAATGGAAGGCCTTGGCTGACCTTGTGCCAGGATACTTCATCCACACGGTGGGGAATCCTTACCCTGAAACTGTAGGTGGGCTCTTCCTAGCACACATAAGCCAAGGAAAGGAAGGTCCAGAGAGGCCAAGTGACCACCTGCTGCTGCACAGAGCAGAGATGGTGGCCATGCTGGGATTGGGATTTGGGGCAGGCCCCTTGCCCGGGCAGAATGTTGTCCCCAACCCTCCTGACTGGGCAGGTCTTTCTGCCTGGGCTGTTGGCAGCTGACAGCTTGCAGGTGATTAGTGGGAAAGCTCAGTGTGTGACTGCTGTGACTTTGGCTATTCCCACACAGAGAAATGTGGCACCAAGGTACAGTGGGGGCAGGCCAGGTCAGGGGGGCTGCCGGGGGTGGCGCTGCTCTGGGGACCTTTGGCGTGTGTGGGCAGATGAACGCCACTGCACCCACCATGAGAACAGGTTCTGGGCTGGAAGATGCGTGGACAAGATGAGGAGTTGGGGCAGGGGAGCGTGAAGAGATCATGGCTTGGGTGGGGTTAGTCGGGGAGGGGATGGACACTGACCTTAAGCCTCTTCTGTCTTGCAGGTGCTTTGGGGAGGATGCACAAGTGGCAGGTCCGATGACAGGTGCTCCAACACCTTGTCCCCGGCCCCCCCTTACCAAACAAACATAATAAAGCAAATAGACAACTGTCCTGGTAAACCAGGCTCCAAAGAGTTAAAGAAACCAAAGACTAAATTCTTGGACTTACAGAATAGCAGATAAGAAAAGAAAGAACTTGCTGAAAAGCTGAAACTAAGACTGTGCCCCGAAGAGTAAGAAACCAGTAACAGAAATTCTTGAGTTTGCAGGATAGCAGATAAGAAAAGAAACAGCTTGCCGAAACACGGACACTCCCTGCACTTACGAGATCAAGAAAAAAACTGGCTGATGGCCGGGCCCGGTGCCTCAAGCCTGTAACCCCAGCACTTTGGGAGGCCAAGGTGGGCAGATCACTTGAGGCCAGGAGTTCGAGACCAGCCTGGCCAACATGGCAAAACTCTGTCTCTACTTAAAATACAAAAATTAGCCAGGCATGGTGGGACGTGCACCTGTAGTCCCAGCTACTCGGGAGGCTGAGGCACGAGAATGGCTTGAAGCCAGGAGACAGAGCTTGCAGTGAGCCAAGATCGCGCCACTGCACTCCAGCATGGGCAAGAGAGTAAGACTCCATCTCAAAAAAAAAAAAAAAAAAGAAAAAAGAAAAGAAAAGAAAAGAAAAGAAAGAAGAAAGGAAAAGAAAAATCCGGCTGGAATTGGTTGGAACCAAGATGGCCAACCAGAATCTGTGCAGAATGAACTTGGTGACGTTGTAGCCTGAATTTCCACCGCGTGTTTCATACTAATGCCCCTTAAATTTTGCACATGCGATCCATGAGGAGGCATGAAGAGATAACTGCACGTGCTCAAGGAATTTTCTTTTCTTTCTTTCTTTTTTTTTTTTTTTTTTTTGAGATGGACTCTTGCTCTGTCACCCAGGCTGGAGTGCAGTGGTGCAAACTCGGCTCACTGCAACCTCCGCCTCCCGGGTTCGATTCTCCTGCCTCAGCCTCCTGAGTAGCTGGGATTACAGGCTCCGGCCACCACGACTGGCTAATTTTTTGTATTTTTAGTAGAGACAGGGTATTGCCATGTTGGCCAGGCTGGTCTCAAACTCCTGACCTCGTGATCCACCCGCCTCAGCCTCCCAAAGTGCTGGGATTACAGGTCAAGGACTTTTCCAGACCTCCCCTTCCCTTCTTCCTGTCACCTACTAATCTCAGAATCTACCACCCGCACATTTTCTAATAAAAATACTGCCTTGAAGCCAGCACGGGGAGACAGATTTGAGCTGGACTCCTGTCTCCTTGGAGTTGACGAGTTGACTTGCAATAAAAGCTCTTCCTCTTTCTTTCTTTCTTTCTTTTTTTTTTTTTTTTGACAGGTTCTCACTCTGTCACCCAGGCTAAAGTGCAGTGGTGTGATCTTGGCTCACTGCAGCCTCAACCTTCTGTGCTCAAGTGATTCTCCCACTTCAGCCTCCTGAGTAGCTGGGACAACAGGTACATGCCACCATGGCTTGCTAATTTTTTTGTTGTTTTTTGTAGAGATGGGGTTTTCACCACGTTGCTCAGGTTGGTCTCGAACTCCTATACTCAAGCAATCAGCCCACCTCGGCCTCCCAAAATGTTGGGATTACAAGTGTGAGCCACTGTGCCCAGCTGCAATGAAAGTTTTTCTATTCTCAAGAGCCCAATTAGTATTGGCTTCTAGCACACTGGGCAGTGAGCCCGTTTTGCTTGGTAACACTAGAAAATTCAGGTACCTCAACAGGATACAATCCTACCACCTAGATCATCGTTAACTAACATCTTAGTATTGTCATATCCAGGTGGCTTTTGCTAGACATACACATTAATATAATGTAGTTTTGTAACATTCTATAACGTGCTTCTACAGTACTCTCTAGGCAGCTCTGTAGGTTGATACCTCTTTTGCATTTGTGATGGCACAGTAGTCTAGGAATGGAAGTAGGAGAATTTAACCAGTCCCACATTGATAGACATTTGTGTTCTTCAGTTTCTCTGCTAGGTGACACCTCATTGCCACAGCCTCCTTTCATTTATTTATTTTTTTGAAATGGAGTCTCGCTCCGTTGCCCAGGCTGGGGTGCAATGGCGCAATCTCAGCTCACTGCAACCTCCACCTCCCGAGTCCAAGTGATTGTCCTGCCTTAGCCTCCCGAGTAGGTAGGATTACAGGCATGCACCACCACGCCCAGCTAATTCTTGTATTTTTAGTAGAGGCAGGGTTTCATCATGTTGGCCAGGCTGGTCTCAAACTCCCGACCTCAAATGATCCACCCACCTCGGCCTCCCGAAGTGCTGGGATTACAGGCGTGAGCCGCCGTGCCCAGCCCAGCCTGCTTTTAGCAGCTGAACACAGGCCTGCCTTGGGAAGTTAATGGCCGTGGAAGAATTTTCCTCCTTCCAAGCAGGAAAGGGAGGAGAGATAGGGCTGACAGCTTACTCTCTTCAGAGTTTCCTGGGGAAGGGGACACCTATATGGTGGCCCGGCCCTGCTGAAGGTCAAGATGCTATAGTGTTATGGTTTAAAGGTAGGTGCAGGGTCTAGGGGGCCTAGGCACTAACAGAACTAATCTCTCCTCCCCCCAACTGCTGTCCAGGTTCATGGATAGTCATGCTTGGTCTTGTCTTACTGTTCTTTCTGGTCTCAGCCATACCCTTGCTTCCCCAGGCACTCCTGGCCTTTGTTTTCCTACCTCTGGACTCACCCTAGCTGTCCTGTACAACCTGCCCCGCACCTCTGGGCAGTCCTGGGGTGCTCTTGGACCTCTCCTTCCCAGCCTCCTGCAAGATGCTGAAGGACTTTTTGCTGGTTGCACTGGCCTTCACTGGTGTCACTCTGTTGCTGCTCCTGTGACCCTGAGGAAGGCACTCGAGGTCTTCCAGCCATCCTGCCCTCTCTGCAGCTTAAGAGGCTCTGTTTTGGTGCCCTGCCAGCTGGGAGGCCCACAAGATGGGGCTGGTGACTTGCGCAACAGAGAGACTCTCTTCTGAGGAGGAAATTGATATGGAATCTCAGTCTATTTTGGAGGAAGACCTGGAGGCAGTGGCCCCTTCAGAAGACAACGAAAAAATAACCCTTGTTTCTCTCTCTATATAATCTATAATAATATTATTATATATAATCTATAATAATATTATTATATATAATCTATAATAATATTATATATAATCTATAATAATATTATATATAATCTATAATAATATTATTATATATAATCTATAATATTATTAGATATAATCTATAATATTATTAGATATAATCTATAATATTACTATATATAATCTATAATATTATTATATAATCTATAATCCATAATATATATTATTATATATAATCTATAATCTATAATATATAATAATATTATTATATATAATATATAATATATAATATATTATTATATATTATATATTATTGTATATTATATATTTTATATATTATAATATAATATATAATAATATATAATATATTATATTATTATATAATACATAATATATTATTATATATTATATAATAGATATATAATATATTATTATATATTATATAATAGATATATAATATATTATTATATATCATATAATAGATATATAATATATTATTATATATTATATATTATATAATAGATGTATAATATATTATATATAATATATTATATTATATAATAGATATACAATATATTATATATAATATATAATATATTAAATATTTAATATATAATATATTTAATATTTAATATTTAATATATATTATATTTAATATTTAATATATATTATATTTAATATTTAATATATTATATTTAATATTTAATATATAATATAAATTAATATAAATATTAAATAATATAATATATAATATTTAATATATTATATATAATATATTATATATATTTGAGACGGAGTCTCTGTCGCCCAGGCTGGAGTGCAGTGATGTGACCTCGGCTCACTGCAACCTCCACTTCCCAGGTTCAAGTGATTGTCCTGCCTCAGTCTCCTAGGTAGCTGGGATTACAGGCATGCACCACCACGCCCAGCTAATTTTTATATTTTTGTAGAGATAGGGTTTCACCATGTTGCCAGGCTGGTCTTGAACTGACCTCAAGTGGTCCAGCTGCCTCAGCCTCCCAAAGTGCTGGAATTACAGGCACGAGCCACTGCACCTGGCCTGTGTTGCCTTAACCTTGTGCTTTTTGGTACTAGTTGTTAGGGGAAAAACCTGATGTCTTAACTTTGTGACATGCATTTGTGGTCTCTGAAGGGGCCAGTGTGGTGGTGGGTTCTTGGGGAAGGAGTAAGAGGCAGGGCTGGGGCCTCATTAGCACCAGCATAGTGTTGCCCACCGGTGTCCCTGGCCTGAGGTCTACACGGTTGGGAGCCTCGCCTTTTGGCCTCAGCAGAAATTTGACTCCTCTATGGGAAATGGCCTGTGGCCACCAACTCTAGCTTCCCAAGAACAGTGAGACTTTTCCTTC
The DNA here is from genome assembly GCF_000001405.40 of Homo sapiens. Lineage (NCBI taxonomy): Eukaryota > Metazoa > Chordata > Mammalia > Primates > Hominidae > Homo > Homo sapiens. Next base: position 30,455,850 of record NC_000022.11, read on the forward strand.
CCTGGCTCTGCCTTGGCATTTCTGGGCTGTTGGAACAGGAACTTCTAAGTTAACTTTCCTTCTCACACAATGGGGGGCCTGCAGGCCTTGGTTTTCCTGCCCTATGCTGCTAGCTTATCACTTCTGGAATGAGGGGGCTGTGTTAGTCCATTTTGTGTTACTATAAAGGAATATTGGGCCAGGTAAGGTGGCTCACGCTTGTAATCCCAGCACTTCGGGAGGCCAAGGTGTGTGGATCACCTGAAGCCACGAGTTCAAGACCAACATGGTGAAACTCCATCTCTACTAAAAATACAAAAATTAGCCAGGCATGGTGGCAGGCACATGTGTTCCCTGCTACTTGGGAGGTTGAGGTGGGAGAATTGCTTTAACCCAGGAGGTGGAGGTTGCAGTGAGCCTAGATTGCACCACTGCATTCCTGCCTGGGCGACAGAGTGAGACCCTGTCTCCAAAAAAAAAAAAAAAAAAACAAACACCAAACACGAAAAAAGGAATATTGGAAGCTGGGTAATTTACAAAGAAAAGAGGTTTACTTGGCTCATTGTTCTGCAGGATGTACAGAAAGCATGGTGCCGGCATCTGCTCAGCTTCTGGTGAGGGCTTCAGGAAGCGTTTACTCATAGCAGAAGAGGAAGGGGAGCCAGCGTGTCACATGGTGAGAGGAAGGGAGCAAGAAGAGGGGAGGGGTGCCAGCCTCTTTTAAGCAATTGTAGAATAAGAACTCACTCATTATGGCGGGCAGGCACCAAGCCATTCATGAAGGATCTACCGCCATGACCCAAACACCTCCCACTAGGCCCCACCTCCAACATCGGGGGCCACATTTCCTCCTGAGATTTGGAGGGGACAAATATCCAAACTCTATTAGTGACCATTGGCCAAAGCTACAAAGTGGGTCTCTTTCCTTCCCCAATGCTGCCTCCTGGAGATTCAGGACTGGAGCTGAGCATCTAGACCCTGAGTAAGACTGGAGGCTAGAAGCTGGAGCTTGGGAAGCCTGCCTCTTACTGGCTGTGTGCACACAGTGGGAGCTGGCTTGCCAGGGGTGGGCATCAGCGGATGCTGATGGGCACTTTGCAGATCTCAGCTCTGGCCCTGGCCTTAGGTTCTTTGCACTGCTCCACCTCCTGGTGCAAGTCCCCTCCACTCAGCTGCCACAGAGGAGCTCTGGCAACAGCACTGCTCATCTTAGTCCCAAAGGCACAAAGGGTCCACACTCTCTACCTCAGACCCTGCTTCAACATCGAGGCCTTTCCTTTGGTGGTCAAGGGTGAGACCACCCTGTCCCCCGACCCTGCATCACCCACACTAAGCCATCCTCTCCCAAGGATTCCATGACATCATTGGCCCAAATTGTGGGTGCTGCCACCGTCTTCCAAGAAGGTGAACCCATCCCCCTCTTTCCATCCTCCTCCCTTTCCTCTCTCTTCCCTCCATCTTCCCTCATTGGTAGGATTGTCAGATAAAATATAAGATGCATAGGTCAATTTTAATTTTAGATAAACAATGGATACATTTTAAGTATGTCTTTTTTTTTTTTTTTTTTTTTTTTAGATGGAGTCTTGCTCTGTTGCTCAGGCTGGAGTGCAGTGGTGTGATCTCAGCCCACTGCAATCTCCACCTCCTGGATTCAAGAGATTCTCATGCCTCAGCCTTCTGAGGAGCTGAGATTACAGGTATGTGCTACCTCCCCAGGCTAAATTTTGTATTTTTAGTAGAGACGGGGTTTCACCACATTGGCCAAGCTGGTCTCGAACTCCTGACGTCAAGTGATCCGCCTGCCTTGGCCTCCTAAAGTGTTGGGATTATAGGCATGAGCCACTGCACCTGGCCATGCTTTTTTTTTTTTTTCCTTTCTAAATCTGACAACCCTCATTTTCTCTTCTCTTCCTTCCTTTTTCCTTTCTCCTTCCTCCTCCCTCCTCCTTCCCTGCCAGCTCAGGAAGAAGGCAGTCTTGTCCCATTCTGACAAATTGTTATAGAAGAGTGGTGGGGGTGAAGAGGTGACGGGGTAAGGGGCAGCCTTAGCTCCAGGACTATTTCTGTCACCTGTAGGCTGAAGATACAAGGCCAGTGCCTTTGGGAGCTCAGTTTCCCATCTATAAAGCAGATATCAGATTTTGCACCCATAAGTGCATGTGGGAAAGTGCTTGCTGCTGCTGAATATTTGCTTGACTAGCCTGAGTCAGACCTCATAGCCTGCCCACGGATGAGCTCAGCCCTCCGTTTGTTTGTTTCCAAGGAGCCTCTCATGGCACCAGCCTTTGGTTCCCATTCATCCCCATTCCCGGGTGTGATCCGGCTCCCCTGGCAAGAGTTGTGTCAGGGACTGGGGCTCAAGCCAGCCTCTTCACGTCCCCGAATCACAGCAGAAAGTTGGGAAGGAAACTCTGGAGTCCTGGCCTTTGCCCTAGTCACCCAGGGTCATGGTGAGCGTCAGGGGGTTGTGCTTCACAGATGCCATGTGAGCAGCGGACAGGATGCTGAGCTGAGGAACACAAGCCCTGCCCCACTCTGCTGTGAATTTCCTTGGACAAGCTGCTTCAGTATTGTGGGTCTCTATGGCCTATCACCTCCTCTACCCACAAACAGGGACTGGAGAGGGTGACATGCAGGACACTTCTACTGGAAGGTCTAGAACAAATAAATCATGCCTTCTCACTGCCTTTGTAAAAGTGGAATCTTAGGAGGTCATATTCTTACTATATTAAATTTTTTTGATAGAGATGTGGTCTTACTATGTTGCCCAGGCTGGTCTAAAACTCCTGGGCTCAAGCGATCCGCCCATCTCAGCCTCCCCAAGGGCTGGGATTATAGGCAGGAGGCGGTATTACAAGGCAACTGAGAGCAATGTCATTGGAGTAAACAAAGCAAAAACAGGCCAGGCATGGTGGCTGAGGCCTGTTATCCCAGCACTTTGGGAGGCTGATGGGGGGTAAATCACTTGAGGCCAGGAGCTTGAGACAACATGGGGAAACCCCATCTCTACAAAAAAATACAAAAAAATTAGCCAAGTGTGGTGATGCCCACCTGTAGTCCCAGCTACTCAGGAGGCTGAGGTGGGAGAATGGCTTGAGCCCAAGAGGTCAAGACTGCAGTGAGCCATGATTGTACCACTGCACTCCAGCCTGGGTGGGCGACAGAGCGAGACCCTGTCTCAAAAAACAAACAAACAAACAAATAAACAAACAAACGAACACCCCCTGCCCCAGGTCCTGGATCTGCCACCCAAGCTGTAAGATGTTGAGTGAGTAGCTTCACCCCTCTGAGCCTCCATTTCCTTATCCATAAAGGGCCTTGGGGATGGCATGAGAATAAAACATGCTAAACTCACAAAGCTCTTGGCACAGTTTCTGGTACACAGAGAGCACTCGCCAAATGATAGTTGTTTTCTTTATTATGATTATGCCAGATGTGACTGCCTTTGCTTCCAGGAAAGTCCCTAAAACATAAGCTATGTGCAACAAGGGAAGTGGGTTAGGGTGGGAAGCTGAGCGTGCAAGTCAGACAAAGCCTGATGTAGGCAGCTCCTATCAGAGGCATGTGGCCTTTGTGGCTGGGGCCCTCAAAAGACAGCCACTGCCAGAAATCTGGAGACTGAATTGTCTGGGTCTCCAGAAGAGAGTCCAACCCCACCACACATCTGCTCCTGTCCAAGGTGCTGAAATCCACCCCACATAGGCTCCTCCTAATCATGTACAGCTGTTGAGTCACCTGCACCCTACCTTCTGGTCCTCCATTCAATGCCACAAATATACACTGAGCATCTACTATATATAGGGAGTGGAAGTAAAAAGGATTTAGATATGTCTCCAACCCAAGTTGCTCACAGCCATACGGAAGGAATTCAAGCATACACACCTGCCTTAGGGTAGGTGAGGACAAAGGCTAGGGGATTCATTTTGCTATTTATTGAGTTTCATGACACCCACTTCTTGCCTTTACCCTTGCTTTTTCCTCTTCTGCAACCTTGGTACCCTCCAAGGTTGTGCCTCTCATACCTTTCTTGATCTGACCACAGTAGATGAGTTTTCCCCAGGGCATCTCTTTCTGTACTCACTAACGTCACAGAGTCAGGAGGACTAACAATCAATTTCAGGGAGGGAGGGAGTGTAGGATATAAACAGAGAAATCAAAGGGTTAGGAGGTCTCTGAGAAATGAGGGAGCCACCTAGACAGGGGTGAGCTCCTTATCATATTTCTGCATGCCCTCGTCAGGGAGCAGGACCTCCACTGTGAAGCTGACCTTCTTGGCGTGGACAAAGCTATAGGTGTTGTCGAAGCGTAGGACATCTGGGGGACAGATGGAAAGAGGGGCATTGGGCTTGGCTTTACACACTCTTTTTTCCACCCCTGGCCATGGAGGAGGACAGGCTTGTGTTCCCACTGGCTTTGTTTGCCAAGCTGGGCCAAGCTCCCACCACGCCTCTTCCCTTCCCCATGGGAACTGCCAACCCAAGCAGGTCCTGTAAACAGACACCAACCTCCTCTTGGCATGTGCCCAGGCATGGCTTTACTGGCATCGAGAACAATGGTCATTACATCCCATTGTCTCACACCTGGAGACGCACATGACGGGGCTGTGAAGGCACATGGTTGGGTTCATCAGAGACCTCCCAGCCCCCTTGGATGAAGTGGGGTTCTGGGGCAGGCCTGCTGGACACTGTTTGCCTCCTCACAACCACCCCAAAAAGCAGGTGTTGGCCGGGCACAGTGGCTCACACCTATAATCCCAGCATTTTGGGAGGCCAAGGTGGGTGGATCACTTGAGGTCAGGAGTTCGAGAGCAGCCTGACCAACATGGAGAAACCCCATCTCTACTAAAATTACAAAATTAAGTGTGGTGCACATGCCTGTAATCCAAGCGACTCAGAAGGCTGAGGCAGCAGAATCGCTTGAACCCGGGAGGGGGAGGTTGCGGTGAGCAGAGATTGCACCATTGCACTCCAGCCTGGACAACAAGAGTGAAACTCTGTCTCAAAAAAAAAAAAAAAAAAAAAAAGAGAAAAAACAGGCATTGTAACTCCTGGCTCACAGGTGAGCAAACCAAGGGTCCTTCCCAGATTGGTCAGACTTTTGCCCAGGACTATGTAGCTACCCTGAGGCTCGGGTGGGACCCTGGAACCACACTCAGCTTTGTGGCTCTGCACAAGTTGATTTATTTTTCAGAGCCTCGGTTTCCTCATGTGGAAAACTACACCTGCCCTATCACTTGTTGTCTGTGTTCTGTGGTCCAGGTGTCCCCAATTCCTTCAGGGCCTGTATGTCTCTGGCTCCTGGTGCACAGTAGGTGCTCATGAATATGGACTGAGTGAGTGACTGTATGAATGAATGGTGCTAACCTAGGCTGTGTGTCCCTGAATGGGGGAGGTGTGTCACTGCCCCTCTGTTTCCTTCTCTAAAGCATGGGACAGGTGGCTCTAGCCTTTCAGAGCCAGGTCCCAGCTGGGGCAGACTTACAGACGCCGGCCTCTGAGCAGGTGAGGTTCCCATCCTCGGGCACCATGTGGGCGTTATAGCGCTGGCTGGGTAGAACATCTGTCATCTCCCCTGCCCGCTGTCGCTCCCCCATCTTGGTCTTCAGGAAAACTCCGAAGCCGATGTCCGCACCATCAGATGAGAACTGCCACCTGTCAGGGGGAGGGGGAGGAGACAGGTTGCTGCTCAGCCTGATGGGTCTCTGAGGGGTTAGGGCCTGCCCCTACCTGAGAACGCAGCCTGGAAATAGGATCTCGTATTCCACTTGGTGTGATGAGCCGCGGTTGATCTGCACCGAGTGCTCGTACTGAGTCTTCACCTGGTCCCGCACGTACATGGACTTGGGGATCTCCCCGCCATAGTTAATCTGCGGACATGGGATGAGATGGGCTTGCTTCCGTCTCCTGGCCATTGTTCATGTTTCTTCTGCCTGAGACACTTTCACCACCTCCTGGAAGTATCCTCTTCATCCTAGCCCCACTCTCCCACCTCCTCAAGCCTTCTATGACCCTCCAAACTGGGCCAGTGCGTCTGCTGGGAGCTTCCCCTCCCAGCTCATCCCTCTGGGTTAAAATTCGCCTATTTCTTGTTTGCCTTTACAGCTGCTGAGAGCTCTGTAAGGGCGAGGGTTGTATTGACTAGCTTAACACCCAGTTCTTGGCATCTCTCTATAGGTAATTGTGGATGAATGACTGAGTGGAAAGGGAATCCAGCTTAATTCTTGAACCTCTCTTGTCCCAGGGAAGGGCTCTTTGTACCTTGGTTAAACATTTGGGGTTCCCATCTGGGTCAGTCAGGGTGCCCCCAAACTGGGCAGGCAGTTCCTCAGGACTGATGAGTTTCAGCAAACCTTCCTTCCAGTTATCTGGGAGCAGTGGGATTCAAGGGTGGTTAGCAAGCATGGGGGGCACCAATTAGCCTCCCACACCCACCAGGATGACCTGAACTGGGGGAGAAGCCCTATAGGAGGTAGGCTGCCAGGACCAATTCCCCAGTGTCCTAGGCCTGGGGCTACAGTAAGTGTCTTTCTCAGCATTGTGTTGCTGTGGAAATGTGTTTCCCGCCTTGATAGATGAATCAGCACTTTTTTTTTCTTTGAGACAGTGTCTCACTCTGTTGTCCAGTCTGGAGTGCAGTGGAATGATCATGGCTCACTGCAGCCTCGACTTCCTGGGCTCAAGTGATCCTCCCACCTCAGCCTCCTGCGTAGCTGGGACTACAAGCATGTACCACCATGCCTGGCTAATTTTTATTTGGTTTTGTTTGGTTTTTTTTTGTAGAGATAGGGTTTCACTATGTTGCCCAGGCTAGTCTCAAACTCCTGGGCTCAAATGATTGTCTTACCTGGGCCTCCCAAAGTGTTGGGATTACAGGTGTAAGCCACCATCACCATGCCCAGCCTATGGCACATTCTTTTTTTTTTTTTTTGAGACGGAGTCTTGCTCTGTCACCCAGGCTGGAGTGCAGTGGTGTGGTCTCAGCTCACTGCAACTTCCACCTCATGGTTTCAAGCAGTTCTCTACCTCAGCTTCTTGAGTATCTGGGATTACAGGTGCCCACCACCATGACTGGCTAATTTTTATATTTTTAGTAGAGACGGGGTTTCACCACCTTGGCCAGGATGGTCTTGAACTCCTGACCTTGTGATCCACCCGCCTCGGCCTCCCAAAGTGCTGGGATTACAGGCATGAGCCACCACGCCCAGCCAACAGCACATTCTTGAAGATCTTCCAGTCATGAGCAGTGAAACTAAGAGTTATCTAATTGCCTCAAGGAGAGTTTAGAGCTCAATGACGTCAACGGCCTTGTTGGGATCACTCTGTAAGTAAGTGGCATGCCCAAGTCAGACCTCCTAGTGGGGGATGGACAGCCCTGGGCTTTTGGAGGGACCCTCCCCACTTCCCTCTGCCTAATCACCATGACCATAATGTTCTTCATGCCCTATGTAAAGCTCTAAGAGTTCTGGGTCCTGGCTGTTACCATGCCCCAGCCTTATGGCTAATCCAGGCTACCCGGTCCCCCAACCCCCTCACTTTGGCCATGGGAGGTTCCTTCTCTACAGTGGTATTAAGGGGAAGACCACAATGTGCCACATACCAGAGCCAAATGAGCAGAGTCACATGGGGCAGAGGCTGTGGACTTAAGGCCTGGACTGTGCTGGTAACCCACACTGCTCTAGGCTTTGGAAGGCGTAGAAGGCATGAGCCTGGACCCTTCAAACCAGGCCCTCATAATCTATCAAGTTCCCCATCCCAGTGGAATTGGGTAGAGGCAGAGGCTCAGGTACCAGGAAGAAAGAGAAAGTAAGGATTTATAAGCTCCCCCTCACCCCTGGATCCTCAGTTCTCCTAATTCTGTGATCTGACTATCCTGCTTGGGAGAAGTTTTCCTCCAAGCCAGGGTCATTGGTTTGGGTTTAAGAACTATTTCCCTTCTCTCTCTTTCTCTCAGCCTGTCACTTGTAAACACAACTATTCTCCTATTTGTAAAATTAATACATATTATTATACAGTTTAGAAATCATAGACAATACAGGTAATAAAATTAAAAACCACACGATCTCTCACTATCAACAAAAAATATTTTGTTGTTTTTCCTTGTAGAAATATGTATTTATTGTACATATGTTTTCATAAAATAAGATTATACTTTTAGTTTAATCTTATTTTAGTTTATGCTTATGAAGATAAGTTTATAATCTACTTTTAAAAACTTAAAGACATTTCCATGGCATTAAATATTCACATATAGCCTTATTTCTCATGGCGGCTCCAGAATTCATCAAATGCATGCACCATTATTTATTTATCCAGTCCTTTCTTGTTGGGTCTCCTTTCTCTGAATTGTGACTACTCTTTCTGCTCGTCTGCCTCATCCTCTTCTGCCAAGGTTGCCTTTGGAAGCACTAAGCTTATGAGTGTTGAAAAGAAACCGAGGCCTATATACCAGAAATTGACTGCAACCAAACTGAAACCAGTGAGGTGGTAGGTGTGGAGGCCTTGTCCACCAAAGGGGTATGGCAGGGAAAAGAGCAAAGGTAACACTCTTTAGGGTAAAACCCACTTCACTGTTGGGAAGAAGGAGCCTCTGACTAGGTGATGTGTAGAGTTCTGTTGTTTTTGAGATAGGTTCTCACTCTGTTGCCCAGGCTGGAGTGCAGTGGTGTGAACACGACTCACTGCAGCTTCATACTCCTGGGCTCAAGTGATCCTCCCACCTCAGCCTCCTAAGTATCTGGAATTACAGGTGTGCACCACCACAACCAGCTAATTTTTAAATTTTTTGTAGAGATGGGGTCTTGCTATGTTGCTGTGGCTGGTCTCAACCTCCTGATATCAAGCAATCCTCCTGCCTCAGCCTCCCAAAGTGCTGGGATTACATTCGTGAGCCACTGCACCCAACCTAATGTGTGGAGTTCTAGATGGGGTAATGGGACAACCTCACTCCAAAGGTCATGTATAGAGGTCAGGAAATTGAGCTGGCACTACTTACTTCCCAACACAATAATTTTCCTGCGAGTGTCCTCACTCAGGAATGGCTTCATGAGGTTGTAGCCCACAGGGAACAGTTTGGTAGCTGGAGAGATAGAAGTAAGGATAATGGGAAGAAAAGAATTACATTGGGCAACCCCCTCCATAATGGTTATAGCCAATGATACAGAGGAGTCATGACTAACCCTGGTCAATTCCAGTGTCTGTCCTGCACCCAACAAACCATCCAACCAACCAGTCAACCAGCCAACAAACAGCCAACTAACCAATCATGCATCAATCATGCAATGCAACCATCAACCAACCATTCAGCCAACAAACCAGCCAGTCATTCAAACTTCTAATCAGCCACCTATTCAGTCAACCAATAAACCAGCCAACCTACCAAACAGCCAACCAACTATGCAACAAACCAACCAACTGACAACAAATAGTCAAACAATTTAACTTCTAACCAGCCAACCTACCAAATAGTCAACCATCTAACAAATCAGCCAAACAGCAAAGCAATCAGCCAATGGAACAGCCAGATAACCACTCAACTAACTGTGTTCTCTAGCCAGCCAACCATCCAAATAACCAGCCAGCCAACCATCCAAATAACCAGTCATCCAACCATCCAAATAACCAGCCAGCCAGTCAGTCAAATAACCAGCCAGCCAACCATCCAAATAACTAGCCAGCCAGTCAGTCAAATAACCAGCCAGCCAACCATCCAAATAACCAGCCAGCCACCATCCAAATAATCATCTAAGATTCAGCCAAACAACAAACCAGGCAACCAACTAACCAACCTGCTAACCAGGCAACCAACTAACTAGCCATCAAAACAACCTACCAACCAAAATGCCAACCAGCCACTCAATCAGTCAACCAAGCTAAGAACTAGCCAACCAAGCAGCCAGCCAATTCTCCAACGAACCACCAGTTAGTCAACTAGCCAAGCAACCAACTGGCCAGTCAGCTGAACAACCAATCAAGCAACCAACTGATCAACCAACTAGCCAATCACCAAACATCCATCCATCCTTTCATCTACCCACAACAATTACCCAAATACCTATGGAGCATCCACCATGGACCCAGGCCTGTGAGGGCTACAACAAAAGTGGAGAATCACAGCCCCTGGCTTCAAGGAGCAGAAAACTCAGCCAGTAAAGCAGGATGAGCACAAATAAAACAGCTGGAGATCCCTAAAAGGCAGCAAACAGGGAAGGCTGCACCAGTTGCCAGTGCCAGAAGCAGTCTGGGGAGGGAGAGATCATCATGGACAGGAGAAATAAGGGAGGATCCCTGGGAGAGCTGGGACTGGAGCTGCCTTCTCTTGCAGTAAGGCCAACCCTAGAAGTTACCATTTATTGAGAACTTACTCTATGCCAGGCATTCTAAGTGATTTGCATACAGCCAAGAAACCAACCTGCCTCACAACAATCCTGGGACAAAGACAGTGTTATCACCCTCAGCGTACAGATGAGGAAACAGAGGCACAAGTAAGTGAAGTCATTTGTCACATACCTTTCACGATGAGCATGAACTTCAGGGTCTCTGGGTAATTCTCTTCAAGGAGGCCAAAGAACTGTGGAACCAAGAGAGATCCCTTCAGAGAGCACATCACATCTTCTCCTACCTCCATCTCCTGTGCAATCTCCTGTTGGGAGGTTTCAGATGGCTCTGGAGGGTTTCCCTTCATGCCATCACCTCCCCTGGCCTCTGGAGGGAACCTTCTCACCTCATACTATTATAACCATACTCTAATAATAATTACATAATAATTGTTTTTAGTAAATATTATAATAATGGTAGTATAATAATAATGACTACTGTTGATTAAATGTTCACTATTTGCCAAGCAGTGTATATACACTTTACATAACAACTTGCTGAAGTATCCCTACATTGCTATCCCCATTTTGTAGGTCAGGAAACAAGCATGGAGAGGGTTTGGTGGAAGCTGGAACGTGTGGTCTCAGTACAGTGTTGTCCCTGAAACCCATTCTGTGGGATCTTCTAGGAAAGGTATTAAGGCCTTCTGGAGTTTGAGTCACAATGAGGGAGCCCAGGACATTTTTAAACTAAATCTTGGCTCTCAGTAAGCAGCTGGGTCATGGCAGGCCAAGCTGGTCATCAAAGCAAGCGGGGGGTGGCCCTAGGACTTCTCCTTACCTCCTGGTACACTTCTACCAGAGGTTTCCAGAAGTGTTTCAGTCCCAGGCCCTCACAGTCAAATATCATCACGATGGTCTCAATCTTCTTCCCTAGCTGCAAGGATGAGAGCAAGAAGTAGTTCTGGAGTTCAGGGTGTAGGCTTGGGAGATGGTAATCCAAGTACATGACCCCTTGGGGCTTCTTCTAGACCCCGACTCTGTCCTCAGAGGAACAAGTAGACTAACCAGTGAATGCATTTCCCCACTCATCCATCCATCCATCCACATCCATCCATCCATCCATCCATCCATCCATCCATCTATCCAACCATCCACCCACCCACCCCCGTATATATCAACTTACTCATCAATTAATTGAACCATCCATCCATTCATTCATATTGTCATTAATTTATTCATCCTCCATTTTTCCATAATATAAATATAAACTGATAAATATAAACTGATATTTATCAAGCACTTTTTTGTGTGTGCCAGACACTAAAGTGTAATGAATAGTGCCTAATAACCCACAGTTTTTGTCCTTAAAAAGTTCACTGTCTGGCTGGGGAGATGACAAGCAACCAGGTCATTTGGATCCTATGATAAGTGCTGCAATAGGTCAGCACAAGAGCTTCAGGGATACAGAAGAGGTTATTTAACCCAGGCGGGGGACTCAGAGAAGGTAACATCTAAGTTTCAGACCTAAAGGATAGATAGGAGAAAGTCAGGGAAAGTTGTGGGAGGTAGGTGTGTGTGGTGGGAACTAGGGTTGTTCAGACAGAAGGAATAGCAAGGGCAAAGAAAGGCTCAGAGGGAATAGCAATAGCTACCATTGTTGAGAAATATATATTAGGCCCTGTGTGCTAAATTGCATACTTGCATTATTTCATTTCACTTTTGCAACCATTATTTATTCATATCCCTGTTTTATAGGTGAAGGAGCTGAGGCTCAGACAGGTGAAATGACATATTCAAAACACTGAAGCAAAACAAAACAAAGCAAAAAAACCCATCAACCAAGAATTCTATTCCCGGCCTGGTACGGTGGCTCACGCCTGTAATCCCAGCACTTTGGGAGGCTGAGGCGGGTGGATCACAAGGTCAGGAGATCGAGACCATCCCGGCCAACATGGTGAAACCCCGTCTGTATTAAAAACACAAAAATTAGCCCTGCGTGGTGGCGGGCGCCTGTAATCCCAGCTACTCAGGAGGCCGAGGCAGGAAAATCCCTTGAACCTGGGAGGCGGAGGTTTCAGTGAGCCAAGATCACACCACTGCACTCCAGCCTAGGTGACAGAGCGAGACTCTGTCTCAAGCAAAAAAAAAAAGAGGGTTCTATTCCCAGCAAAAGTATCCTTCAAGAAACTGTCTTTCTGTGACTGTGACTTTTCAAGGCCACACAGCTGGTAAGCAACAGAGCTGGTGTTTGACCCCAGAGCCCTCTGACTGTGGTTGTAGAGAACACAGGTGTGTTTCTGAGACCAATCCCCCCGGCAGCCTCACCTGCCCCCAGCCATCCACCCCACCTGGCCTGGACCTCACCCTCTCTGTCTGCAGGTCACACTCATGCAGGATGCGCTCACAGTCCCTCATCTTGGTCTTGAGCAGGTCCTGCTTGGTGACTGAGAAGAGCAACCCCTTGGGATCAAGTGGCCCAATGATGTCATACCACACGGGGCAGCCATCACGGTCATAGCCACACAGGCCCCCAGGCATGTACTTCTGGATCACCTGGGCATGAAAAGATGCACAGAACTTGGCATTACACACCTCCCTTGAGACCCCAGACCAGGCTGACCTGGGTGGCCCAAGCCTACACACACCATGGTATAAAAAGCACTGTCCCTCCCTGGAAGACAGTGCTATTGTCTCAGGTGAGAAAGCTGAGGTCCTGCAGGGGAGGGCCTTGCTCACAGAGGGTAAATGGCAAAGCCAGGTCTCAGCAGGCCCTTGGACTTCTTAGGTCTGCCCCTGATGTCTCCCGTGTCCCTTTCTGTGGAGAAGAGTCGGGTTTAGTGATGGAGAACACAGATTCTGAAGGTTAACAGAGCTGGTTCAAAAACAGACACTGGCTGGGCATGGAGGCTCATGCCTGTAATCCCAGCTACTCAGGAGGTTGAGGCAGATGGGATCTCCTGAGGCCAGGAGTTTGAGACCAGCTTGGGCAACAGAGAGAGACCCTGTCCCTACAAAAATAAAAGAAATTAGCCAGCTGTGGTAATACACATCTGTAGACTTGGGAGGCTGAGGTGGGAGAATCACTTGAGCCCAGGAGTTCAAGGCTGCAGTGAGCCATGATCATGACACTGCACACCAGCCTTGGCAACAGAGTGAGACCCCATCCAAAAAAAAAAAAAAAAAGCAGATACTGCTGCTTCTGTACTGTGTGTCCTTGAGCAAGTGACACCACCTCTCTGAGCTCCATTCTACCTACTTTTTTTGTAAAATGGTTTGGATAACCCCTCACTCTTGGGACTGTTGGGGAAAGTCCCTGAGATAAAGTTGGCAAAGCAGAGTGCCCAGATCCGGGTACATGCCCTACAAGTGAAGACGTGACCATTACTCTACTAAGATGCCAGTGGTGGCACTGTCCTCATCAGTGCCTTGATGGGCTAAACTTCTTTCCCACCCAGACAGGATGCTTTAGGCAATGCCTTAGGGGGCAGGGGTGCAGAAGCACAGGCTAACCGTGGTGGTTACGAGCCTGGGTTTGGGGGCCCAAACAGGCCTGAGCATAAATCCCAGCCCTACCTTGGGCTATGGGACTGTGGGCAAGTTACCTAATTTTTGCTGGGCTTCAGTGTCCTCATCCACAAAATGGGGACAATAGCATCCATCATTGTGATGATTAAAGAAGCTCATGCTGCTAACATCTTAACCTAGGCCTGGACCTTGCAAGCCCCCAGGAAACATTCATTATGACTGTAGGAAAGGAGACTGCAGGCCTGCGGGTTCCACAGGCCTCTCAGGCTTGCTGCCCCTCATTCATGGTCCCCAGTGACCTTGAGTGGTACGTCCGTGAAAGACTGAGGTGTTTGGCGGTGTTGGCTCACCTCTGGGGGCTGCCAATCAAGGATATGGTCAATATCCATGGTCTTCCGGAACTCCATGTACTGAAAGGGAAATGAGTGGTAAGATCCCACTGGGCTCCCAGTGCCCTGAGAACAGGGATGGAAGGAGGGGCTTGAGGCATGGATTGCCCCTGACAAATCCCCTCCATAAATTTCCAGAGTGGATAGGTCTCACCTTGCGGAGCAAAGCCTCCGACTTCTGCAAGTCAAAATTCCGAGCTGTGGGAAAACAGAAGGAAGGTGTGAGACAGGAAAGATGCCTTGTCTTACTCCTGGCCAGTGGGAGCTATGGAGGACACTGGGGGCCTGGGTGAGACCTTGCTCCCCTACCCCCTTCCCTCCTCTGGACCTGAACATGTGAAGCAAGATTGTGTGGATGGACCCTGAGAGCCATGAGACACTCTGGAGCAGTTGAGACCAGGCCCCTCTTGATGCCCCCTGATCCCAACCTCTCCCACCTCTGCCCTCACCTCGGAGCCAGCGTAGAAGGAAATAATCATCAGGGTTGGGCAGGGCAGGAAGCACATCCTGGACGTTTTCTCGGAACTGGCAAGAGAGATGCTGGTTAAAGTGGCTCTCTCACATTGAGCCTTGGCCTCCAGACTCAAAGACTGTTTTCACAACCTCTCCTTTCCTCCCACATGCAAAATGGCCCACATTGATGAAAGGATGGGTTAATGGTTGAATAGAAGGGCAGATGGATCACTGGATAGGTGGATGAATGGAAGGAGGATAGATGGATGAATAAATGGTTAGAAAGAAGAATAGATGGGTGAGTGGGTAGGTAGATGGAAAAAGGGAGAAGAAATCAATGGATGAATGGATAGATGGATGGATGGAGAGTGGGTGGGTGGATAAATCAGTGAATGGACAGAGGAGAGATGGGTGGGTGATTGAGAGAAAGAAAGATGGATAGGTGGCTGCGTGGGTAGGAAGAGGGATGGGTGGATGAAAGAAAGGATAAACAGCCAGGTATGGTGGCTCACGCCTGTCATCCCAGCACTTTAGGAGGCTGAGGTTGGTGGATCACCTGAGGTCAGGAGTTTGAGACCAGCCTGGCCAACATGGTGAAAACTCATCTCTACTAAAAATACAAAAATTAGCCAGGTGTGGTGGCACATGCCTGTAATCCCAGCTACTCAGGAGGCTGAGGCAGGAGAATTGCTTGAACCTGGGAGACAGAGGCTGCAGTGAGCTGAGATCGCTCCACAGCACTCCAGCCTGGATGACAGAGACTCCATCTCAAAAAAAAGAAGAAAAAGAAGAAGAAAGGATAAATAATTGGGTGGATGAATAAGTGGATTGGAGTTTGGATGCATTCTTAGTTCCCTCCATGTGTTAGCCCTCAAAACATCTGCTTTTTTTCATCCCATCTTCTATTAAAACATGGTTAATAATTATATGTCCTCTTCTTCCTTTAGCTCTTTGAAAGACAACACTTTCTGCTCTGTCTCTTGGGCTTTTACAGACTGGTCATCTTTCAGGATCCCAAAGAGGAAGGGGTTAAAGGGCAGACCAGCAGCATCTTTCAGCTCCTACCTATGGTGCCTGGGAGGGAGGAACGGGGGTACCTGGCTGCCAGGTAAACCTCTCTGGTTCTGGCTCCTGGATGAGAAGAAGTCAGGCTTGACTTGGGTGGGCACCACCCACGTTATTGCCTGGAAGTGGTGCTAGTCCCTCAACCCCCGCCCGGGACAGGGTTGATGTTACTGGGCACCGTGGGGCTTGACCCTTTGGGAGGTAACACCAAAGAGACAATGTCAAGGACATGCTGAATCAACTGAGTGGGGCAGGATTCCAGCCACTTCTTTCCACCCCCCAGCCCCTTTCCCCTGGTCTTCCGGAACTCCAGGGGGAGGGGCTCTCACCTTGGCCAGGGTCTCTGCCTGTTTGGGGCTCAGGTCTCCAACTCGGCCGCTCATGGTGCTGGCTGGGGCTTGAGGAGTGGTGGCCACTATAGGCAAGAGGCCAAGCCTAGTTTGTCAGCCCTGACCCAGCTGGGTCCTTTTGCCCCCACTCCTGGGCGTGGCTCCAAGCGCCTCCTCATGGGCCAACTGTTTAAATTGCAGATTACATAATTGGGATTAAGTGAGGTCCCCTGCTTGGCTTGGGGACAGATCTGGAGGGGCAGGCGGGCATGGAGCGTGTGCCAGAGGTCCCCTGCCAGGAGGAGGCAGCTGGGAGGAAGGGAGGCTGGCCTCCCGTGACCTTGGAGCCCAGAGTGAGTGCCTGTAGAACCCGCTGACCCTCCCAGGCCTCCAGTGACCACTGCCCTGGAGAAGGGGGAGTTTCAGGAGAATGAGGACCGCTCCTTGTGGGTACCCTTTCTCCCTGAGCCCCAGTCTTCCCACACTTAGGATTCTGCAAAGATCACCCCCCTCTACCCAGCTCTGAAAGGGTAGGATTCTGAGGCTTGGTCAGTGTAGTAAACAGTTCATTCACTTTGTTGGGGGTGGGAGGCCCAGGTCCTTCTTTTGTGTCCACAGTCAAGAAGAGGACAGATGGCATCTTTTGAACGTCACTTGCTTCATTTATAAAATGGGGCCGTTAATGTTTGCCTTCCCCTCCTTATGTGGTTAGAGGGAAGATCTAATGAGACATAGGGACTGTCAAGGGTTGTGTGCATCTGAGGGATACTCTCCTTCAGCTCTCCTGGTCCCCCCTGGAGCTGTAAGCTTCAGCTCCAGGAAGGGAGAGACCCTGTTATCCATGACTCTCTCTGAAGAAACCATCAGCTTGAGGCTGCAGCATGGCCACATGGCCACATGGCCACATCTCAGCCTTGAGGGGGTCTGCATGGGCTGAAACCAACCCCGGGCTAGCCTCGGCCCCAGCAGCTGGGCTAGCCCACACCATTCTGCCTAGGGCTTTTCTAGGTCCCCTACTCCTGGGGCATCCTGGGTACCCACCCCTGAGCTACAGTGGGCCTCTATTCTGGGCTAACCCAGGGTCTCTTTAGGCTAGTAGATGTTGGTCAGTATCAGACATCTTCTCAGGGACATCTTCCTTGCTCTGGGCTCCTCACAGAGTTGGATCCAGAAGGAGAAGGCAGGGCTAATGCTGGCCATTTCCCTCTGCCTGGGGAGCCCGTGGCATGTACTCAGGAACAGTTAGGTAACTCTCCACACCCCAGCCCTGCCCCATTTCACATTCCAGCCTCAATTTCTGCAAAGCCCCAGCTGCTGTCTACACCCACTTCCTGCCAGGCCAGTAATGTACAGAGATTGGGTTCCTCCACTGCCCTTTCCCGAGCCACTAATCCTGCCCATTTCTCACCAGTCTCCTTTCTCACCCTAATCCCTATAATGTGAGGTGTGCTAGTTACTTCTAGGGGCATCGGAGACTGTGAAGGAGAGCCAGGAGGGAGGGTTGGGGGTCTCCTCAGGAGTTGTGAGCCTTCACACTGAGCTCTTTTCCTGACCCAGACCACAGATTTGTCAAGTACCTTGCTATGTTCACAAATCCTCATCAGCTACAGTGCCACTCCACAGAACTTCCTGTGATGGTAGACATCTTCTGTCTGGGGTGTCCTGTTAGACATATCTGGTAGCCACTAGTTACATGTGAAAGATGGTTAGCGTGACTGAGGAACTGAAGTTTTAATTGAATTGGATTTTGATACATTTTACTTTAAATTGTTCAATCTGGCTAGTGGTTACCATATTGGATGGTGCAGGTGGCCCATTTTTATTTTATTCTACTTTATTTTATTTTATTTTTGAGACAGGGTCTCACTCTGTTGCCCAGGCTGGAGTGCAGTGGCATGATCTCGGCTCACTACAGCCTCGACCTCCCCAGGCTCAATCAATCCTCCCCACCTCAACCCCCCGGAGTAGCCTGGACTGCAGGCACATTCCACCACGCCCTGCTAATTTCTTATATTTTTTGTAGAGATGGGGTCTCATTACATGCATTACCTCATTTTGGCCTGGTGAGGTGGCTCACACGTGTAAACCCAGCACTTTGGGAGGCCGAGGCAGGTGGATCACCTGAGGTCAGGAGTTCCAGACCAGCCTAGCCAACATGGCAAAACCGTGTCTGCTAAAAATACAAAAATTAGCCGGGCGTGATGGCGGATGCCTGTAATCCCAGTTACTCAGGAGGCTGAGGCAGGAGAATGGCCCGAACCTGGGAGGCGGAGGTTGCAGTGAGCCGAGATCATGCCACTGCACTCCAGCTTGGGGGACAGAGTGAGACTCCATCTCAAAAAAGAAAAAAGCAGTGCATTACCTCATTTAAACCTCAGAACATACCTGTGGTGTTGGGTAGGTACTATTACGCCCATTATGCAGATAAGCAAACTGAGGTATGGAGAAGTAACTTATCCAGGGGTAAACCCATGCAATTAACCACTCTGCCATTGTGCTGTTATGCTATCCCATAGTCTTGGCTCTAGGAGCTTCCACCTTAGTTAGGGAGAGAGCCTAAGCATGAAAGTCACCTATATGTGATGCAGTTGGCATCTGAGCCAGGCCTTGAAGAAAGGAAGGATTTTGATTTATGGAGAGCAGAATAAAGGGCATCCCAAGTGGAGGGGATGGCATGGGCAAAGGCATGGAGGTGGGAAAGTGAGAAGCATGTGGAGGGGGTAGATTACAGCAAACAAGACAGATTAGGACCCAGCTTGCATAGAGCTCACAGTCTCCCATTGGTGAGCATACCCTCTGTGCTGGGAGCTTTATATCATTATCAAATCATTCAGAAGCAGGTATGGGTATTCCCATTTTACAGCTAAACAAATAGAAGTTCAGAGAGATCAAGAAACTTTTCTGAGGTCACACAGCCAGTAAATGAGGAGCCAGAACTTGAACCCAAACCTATCTGACTCTGGATTGCACAGCCCACCCTGCTTTCCCCTGTAGGGCTTAATATTGTGTCCAGAATATAGTAAGTGCTCAATAAATGCTTTAAATCGTCATTGTGTAGAAGCCTGGATCTGCCTGGATTCAAGCTGGATTCAGGCTGCAGGGTGTCTTGGGGCCAGAAGGGTTAATTTTGCCTGCCTTGAAACAAAGGCCTTGGGGAAGGAGAGACCCCCAGCCTGCCCCCTAAACCCCAGAGCACACTGTCTACAGGTAAGGTCCCATGTGTGTTTGGCTCCTCATTTACCAAGCTCTCAGGGGACCATGGCAACAACCACAACTTAAACAAACAACCGCAGGTGGGTAGATAGAGCTGCTTGCGCCCCAACCTCTCCTGTCAGCCGGTTACTAGGAAATCTGAAACAGCCACCCCTTTCAGTCCATCCCTGGCACATTCCTGATCACCCTCCCTCCCAGGATGGATCTTGCCAGAAGCAGTTGGGTAGGTCTAAAGGGGCCCTTCCCGGGGGTACAGGAGCCTCGACATAGGGCAGGCATCACTGGGAGGAGGTGAGTAGGGGGCATTTAGACCACACAGATGTGAAGTGGGTGGCCTGAAAAGGGGAGATGGAAGCCAGGTGCCGAGGCTCACACCTATAATCCCAGTGCTTTGGGAGGCTGATGTGAGAAGATTGCTGGAGGCCAGGAGTTTGAGATCAGCCTGGCAACATGGTGAGACCCTGTCTCTTCAAAAAATTTAAAAATTAGCTGGGCATGATGGCGTACACCTGTAGTCCCAGTTACTTGGGAGGCAGAGGCAGGATCGCTTGGGCCCAGGAGTTTGAGGCTGCAATGAGCTTTGATAGGGCCACTGCACTCCAGCCTGGGCAACAGAGTGAAAGCTTATCCTTTAAAAAAATAAAAGGGTTGCAGGGAGATGGAAAGGGATTGGGGCACACGTCTCCAGACCCCAGTGGCGCTCTCAGTGGCACCTGGGACAGTCCACTTTCTATCTTTCTTTGGGCAGTTTCATCTCCTTTAATAAATAAAAAAAACTTAAGTGTGATATAATTCATACATCACAAATTCATTGTTTTTAAAAATAGAAGGTATCAAGTTTTCTTACCTTTTTATTAAAAAAAAAATCAGTAACAGACAAGAGTGTGAGAGACAGCTACAGAGAGGTGCTCACTCCAACACCGCCTGCGGAAAAGGTCACCCGGGGTAGAAGAGAACCCCTCCAGTGGGGACCCTGGGTTGGGGTGGTGATGGCAGCTAATAGCCAGTGGGTGCAGCAAGGGAGGGTCATTCCTGTTACCCCAGCCAGTGGGGTCAGGAGGAGGCACCGTCCACCCAGGCTGAGCCAGGCTCAGGTAATAGTAGCCTAAAACAATAGCCAAGGAAGTTAGTCAGATGTTTGGTTCCTCTATGGAAACTAAAGACAACATCTTAGCATATATTTCCAAGTCGTTTTTCAGAAACCTGGGCCCCTCCCCAGAAGGATCCGCTGAAGACTGAACTCTTTGTTGTAAATTTCTTCCTGAAGGGCTTAGAGGGAGTCACACCCACCAGCCCAAGTAACCGGGACCACCAGCCCAACCAGGCCTCTCCTCTCTGGAGAAGCAGGGTCCCAGATAACAGGCCCCAGCTGGAACCTCATCAGCCCTTCCCCATCTCCCCTCCCCTTGCCCAGGGAAAGGGTCATCCCTGCACAGCTGAGGCTGTGACTTGTGAAGCCAGTTGCATTCTCTAGAACGGTGCTGTGCGAAGGATGGAAATGCGCTCTCTGTGTGGTCAGCACGGTGGCCACGAGCCACGTACGGTGACCGAGTGAGCCCTTGAAGTGTGGTTAATGCAACTGAGTTAGATGGAGCAGGGATCTCTCTTAGGGGCCTGCTGGGCTCCCCACAAGCATGGAAATAAAGGAAAACCTTGAGTTCCTTCCAAGGAAATTCCAAGCCCCTACCTAGCCCCGGGAAGTAAATAAGCAACTTGATAACCAAGAAGGTAATAGTAGCCTAAAACAATAGCCAAGGAAGTCAGAGTCAGAGGTTTGGTTCCTCTACAGAAACTAAATACAACATCTTAGCATATGTTTCTGAGTTGTTTTTTAGAAACCTGGACCCCTCCCCAAAAGTATCGGGAGAAGACTGAACTCTTTGTTGTAAATTTCTTCCTGAAGGGCTTAGTGGGAGTCACACCCACCAGTCCAAGCTAACCTTCTTTTCTGCTGATCCCAAATTTTTAAACAAACCTTCTTTACTTTAACCAATTGCAAATCAGAAAACGTTGACTCTACCTATGACCTGTAAGCCCCAAGCTGCGTGATATCCCACTGTTTCAGGCCAAGACCAGTGTGTAACCTCCATGCAACGATTTTGCCTATAACTTCTGCTCTCCTGAAATTTACCACTGCCTTTAAAAACCCTTACCTGCAAACCATCGGGGAGGTCAGAGTTTAAGCCTTAGCTGCCTGGTCCTCTTTGCTGGGTGCCCTGCAAATAAACACTTTCCTTTCTATTGCTGCAAAAATCTCAGAATGGATATCTGGTCTTACTGTGCCAGGTGAGCAGACTCCAGTTCAGTTCCAGCACATGAGGAATGAATTAACTTTATGTGATTTTAGTTGACTTAAATTTAAACAGCCACACGTGGTTACTGTGTTGGATAGCACAGGCCTAGAGCTTAGAGAAAGCAAACCAAAGAACGCCAGCTGGGTCCCAGGCAGAAGGCAGAAAGAGGGTAGAATGGGCTACCTCAGCTATTCCAGCCCCGTGAAAAGGCACCAGGGGCCGGGTGTGGTGGCTCATGCCTGTAATCTCAGCACTTTGAGAGGCCAAGGCAGGTGGATCATTTGAGGTCAGGAGTTCAAGACCAGCCTGGCCAACATGGTGAGACCCCTCCCGCCACACCATCTCTACAAAAAGTGCAAAAATTAGCCGGGCATGGTGGTGGGTGCCTGTAGTCCCAGCTACTCAGGAGGCCGAGGCACGAGAATTGATTGAACGCAGTAGGTGAGCTGAGATTACACCACTGCACTCCAGCCTGGGTGACAGAGCGAGACTCTGTCTCAAAAAAAAGAAAAAAAAAAAAGGCAGCAGGAATGGGGCAAGAAAAGAGGTCAAAATGCACCCAGCCACACAAAAATTCGCTCACTCAGCCAGGTGCGGTGGTTTACCCCTGTAATCCTGTAATCCCAGCACTTTGGGAGGCTGAGGCGGGTGGATCACCTGAAGTCGGGAGTTCGAGACCATCCTGGCCAACTAAAAATACTAAAAATACCGTCTCTACTAAAAATACAAAAAATTAGCTGGGCCTGATGGCACGCGCCTGTAATCCCAGCTACTCGGGAAGCTGAGGAGGGAGAGTCACTTGAACCTGGGAGGCAGAGGTTGCAGTGAGCCGACATCACACCACTGCACTCCAGCCTGGGCGACAGATGGAGATTCTGTCTCAGAAAAAAAAAAAAAGTCCGGGCGTGGTGGCTCACACCTGTAATCCCAGCACTTTAGGACATCGAGGTATATGGATAGCTTAAGCCCAGGAGTTTGAGACCAGCCTGGGCGGCATGGTAAAATCCCGTCTCTACAAAAAATACAAAAAATTAGCTGGTCGTAGTGATGTGTGCCTGTAGTTCCAGCTACTTGGAAAGCTGAGGTGGGAGGATTGTGTTGATGTGGACAGGAAGCAGGAAAATGCTAGGCAGAAAATGGCAAGTTCCCTGGAGAGGCCCACACCCTCAAGCCTTGGACCACGGCACAACGTGTTCTCACTTTGTCTCTGTTTTCCAGCTTGAATGTTGCTTTCTGGCCTGCCCCCAGCCCCCATCTTTTACCTATAAAAACCCCAGGCTCTGTTGGCAGAGGGGTGGCACAGTGGCAGAGTGGAGCAGCAGAGAAGGAGAAAAGAGAAGCAGCAGCCAGGTGTCGGAGAGAAGCAGTTTGACTTCAGAGGGATGGCTTGACAGCGAGACTTCAGAGAAGAGTTCCGCCAGGGACAGCTGAACTCTGGGAGAAGACTGCCTTTCCACTCCATCCCTGTTCCAGCTCCCCATCCTGCTGAGAGCCACTTCCACTGCTCAGTAAAATCCTCCATATTCACCACCCTTCAATTCATTTGTGTGATCTGAATCTTCCTGGATGCTGGACAAGAACTCAGGTACCAAGAGGGCAGGTGCAAAAGGCTGTCACCCTCACCATCC
Organism: Homo sapiens; assembly: GCF_000001405.40. Classification (NCBI taxonomy): domain Eukaryota; kingdom Metazoa; phylum Chordata; class Mammalia; order Primates; family Hominidae; genus Homo; species Homo sapiens. The sequence continues at coordinate 30,479,040 of NC_000022.11, forward strand.
ACTGAGCTGGTAAACATTTAAGCCATCCCTGGGTGGCAAAGCTAAAAGGGCACACTGTAACATATGTCCTCTGAGGCTCTTGAGGTCACAGGTACCCCTGCTAGATGCTGCTATGGAGCTGCACAGAGTTCTACTTCTGGTGCCCAGAAGCATTCATCCCAGCCCTTGCACCCACTCACCTGTGTGCTCCCCCACCATGAGGGGTTGAGAGCTGCAGGCTAAGTAAACCAGCCAACCCCTTCTTGAGTCCCTCAAAGGGGTCAGGGGGACTATCTTGTTTCAGCTTGAGCCTGGGAGGTCAAGGTTGCAGTGAGCTATGATCACACCACTGCACTCCAGCCTGGGCAACAGAGCGAGACCCTGTCTCAAAAAAAGGAGTATCTCCTCTGATTTTATCTTATTTTCAAGAAACAAACAAAGCAAAATTTAAAAAAAAAACATTAAATACAAACTTAGCAGGTGCTGTGGAAATGTACGAGAGAATGAAGAACATCTTGGATTCTCAAAGTCTTGCTCAGGCAGAGACACTCTGCACAAAGGAATGAACCATTCAAAAAATCCACTGAATATAGATTTATGGATGGGCGTGTTGGCTCATGCCTATAATAAAATCCTCCATATTCACAACCAAGAAGATCCAAGCAGGACAGCATTTTGGGAGGCTGAGGCAGAAGGATCGCTTGAGCTCAGGAGTTCGAGACCAGCCTGGGAAACATAATGACACCCTGTCTCTACAAAAAACACATAAAATAAAAATTAGCCAGGTGCAGTGGCATGTGCCTGTAGTCCCAGCTACTCTGGAGGTTGAGGTGAGAGGATCACTTGAGCCCTGCAGGTCGAGGCTGTAGTGAGCTGTGATTGCACCACTGTACTCCAGCCTCGGCAACAGAGCGAGACCCTGTCTCAAAAAAATAAAATAAAAGTAGATTTGCAAATATTCCACAAATCCACTTCAACATGAACTTCTGGCTCTTTTTCTCACCCTCCCTCCCCAGATAAAAAGGTTGATTTCCAAAAGGCACTTGAAGGAGCCTAGAATGGGCCAAGGTATACCATATACTATGGAGACTCCTGTGGCATGATCCTAAGTACTCATTTACAGACACATCTCAAGGTGCAGATGGTTCTAGCTCCTTCTCCCAATTCCTGCCAGAGTGTGAGCCTGTGAGAGCAGATTATGTCGGGGGCAGAGTGATAAAAATGTTCGGCAGTTAGATAGTGGTGTTGTGAGTCCTGGCTGATGGGAGCACATCCTCAGCCAGGACTCCCAAGACCCCTTCCTCCCTGACTTCAAAGGGGCTCTGGATGAGGCATGTTCAGTATGGGTTTGAAGCTGGACCTGGATTCTAAACTGGAAGTTAAAGAAATAATCCAATTCTACTCTTGCCTTCAGAAAGGCCAAGTTTAATTCTATTTTTCTTCGGGGGCAACTGAGGCCCAAGAAATCAAGAAGAGCCAGGCAAGCTAGGCCCAGTGGCTCATGCCTGTAATCCTAGCACTTTGGGAGGCCGAGGCAGACGGTTTACTTGAGTCCAGGAGTTTGAGACCAGCCTGGCCAACATGGTGAAACCCCATCTCTACAAAATATACATATATATATAAAATAGCTGGGTGTGGTGGCGCATGCCTGTAGTCCCAGCTACTTGAGGGGCTGAGGCAGGAGGATTGCTTGATTCTTGATTCCATGTCGAGACTGCAGTGAGCCCTTATTCTGCCACTGCATATCAGAGTGAGACCCTGTCTCAATAAAAATAAAAATAAAAAACACACAAAACAACAATAACAACAACAACCAAGAAGATCCAGGCAGAACAGTAGAAGACGATGTTTCTCCAGACACTTAAAGGTAACCAGAAGGCTGGGCGTGGTGGCTCACGCCTGTAATCACGTTGCTTTGGGAGGCCCAGGATCACTTGAGGCCAGAAGTTCAAGACCAGCCTGGCCATCATGGCAAAACCCCGTCTCTACTAAAAATACAAAAATTAGCCAGGTGTGGTGGTGCATGCCTGTGGTCCTAGCTACTCGGGAGGCTGAGGCAGGAGAATTGTTTGAATCGGGGAGGTGGAGGTTGCAGTTAGCCAAGATTACTCCACTGCACTCCAGCCTGGGCAACACGGCAAGACCGTGTCTTAAAAATAATAATAAATATATATAAAGATAACCGGAACTGGAGATACTAACAAGACACTATTAGGTTGTCCTCCCGCATCCTAATGGCCACTCTGCAAAATCCTCCGACTTCCCTATCCCCTAAAGTCCAAACCAGTGCTCATAGAAGAAGCGTAATAACTCCTTGCTAGGGGCTTTTTTGTAGATGGGCTTCCTGCTCAGGTCGTTTCTGCCTTCATCCTTCTTCATATGGTTCACCAGAAGCAGGATCAGGAAAACAGCAGAGAGGATGCCCGCGATGCTGTCCACAATCAGGACTGCCACGACCTCCATTCTCTCAAAGATGTTGCTGCCCTGGGCAGTGTTGGACATGGGTGCCTTATTGGACACATCCTGGTCCCCCGCAGAGAGTGAGATCCTCCTGGGGATGACCTCGTTGTCCTCCAGTTCCTTGGTTTCAGTGGGACCAGGTTCCCAGGCCCTGCCCTCTCAGGGATGTGGTTATCTAGAAGCACCAAGGGTTGGATCACTTCAGGGATGATCTTGGGGTCCCTTGACTCATCAATATCTCTAGAGCCAGAGAGCTCAGAGTCATCAGGTTCCTGCCCCCAACACCCACATCCAGAGTCTTCCAGTAGGGATCTGGAGAAGTTTGGCCCCTAGGCGGTCCTGGGTTGATGACCTCAGTTTCTTGGATTGACTCAGGGGTGGTGGGGGTGCCTGCAAAAAGCAGCAGCAGCAGCAGGAGCAGGAGGGCGGGGGCAGTGGTACCGCCATCCAGAGAGGGTGAACAGCCTGCGGTGAGTCAGAGCAATCATTCCCAAAGTGTACAATTCAGTGGTACTTAATATATTCACAAGGTTTTGCAACTATCACCACTATCTAATTGCAGAACATTCGCATCACCTCACCCTCAAATAATTCTGTACTCAGCAGCATTCATTTCCTATTTCCTGCTCTGTTCCAGCCCCTGACAGCCAGGAATCTATTTTCTATCTCTACAGATGTCCATATTCTGGATATTTCATATGAATGGAATCATATAGTACGTGGTCTTTTGTGTCTGGCTTCTTTCACTTAGCATAATGTCTTCAAGGTTCATCCATGCCGTAGCATGGATCAGTGTTTCATTCCTTTACATGGCTGAATAATCTTCTATTCTATGGATAGACCACGTTTTGTTTATCTGTTCATCAGTTGATGGACATTTGGGTTATTTCCGCTTTTTTGGCTATTATGAATAATGTTGGTATGACTATGTTTTGTATCAGTTTTTGTGGGAACATAGGTTTTCACTTCTTTTGGGTATAACCTTAGGAGTGGAATTGCTGGCTTGTATAGTGATTCTATATTTAACCTTTGAGGAACTGCCTTTCTATTTTCCAATGTGGCTACACTATTTTACATTCCCACTAGCAGTGTATGAGGGCCGCAATTTCTTCACATCCTTGCCAACATCGTTCACATCTTTTGTTATTTTCCATTTGCTTTTTTTTTTTTTATCATAGCCATTGTAGTGGCTGTCAAGTGGTATCTCATTGTGGTTTTGAATTGCATTTCTCCAACAACTATGCAATTGAGCATCTTTTCATGTGCTTATTGGCCATTTGTATATTGTCTATGGAGAAATGTCTAGTCAAACTTTAAAAATGTCTATCTATTGGACCAGGCACGGTGGCTCACACCTGTAATCCCAGCACTTTGGGAGGCCGAGGTGGGTTGATCACTTGAGGTCAAGAGTTCGAGACTAGCCGGACCAACATGGTGAAACCTCGTCTCTACTAAAAATACAAAAATAAATTAGCTGGGCATGGTGGTGCATGGTATCACCAGGTTGCCCAGGATGGTCTCAAACTCCTGAGCTCAAGCAATCTGCCTGCCTCGGCCTCCCAAAGTGCTAGGATTACAGGCATGAGCCACTGTGCCTGGCCTTGATACAGATTCTTTATTGCTTAGTTTCATCTCCCTTCTTCTCTCAGAAATTAAAATTAAGTATGATCATGATGACGATGTTGATGATACTGCTGCTGCTGCTGTCTGTACTACGCAATACCAATGGCCACCAAGAAGTCAAGACACTCTGGAGAAGACTCCAAAGACCTCTGAGGTGGGAACACAAATCCTGGTCAAGTTCATAAGGATTTCCCTTTCCTCTTTCATACAACACCCTTGCTATTTATTACAGGAATGGGTTGCTATGGTTACAGGAACATGGGGGAGGACAGTGAATGATTCTATAAAGTGAAAGAGGCCTTAATTTGTATGTTGTCTAGGGTTGGAGCTGGCACATCTCTTCCCACAATGCCTGGGGTTACCCAAAGGGCATCAAGTGTCCCAAATTCTTCATGCCAAACTGGTCTCTGTTTTCATTGGCATTTGTGGAAAGCCTGTAGTGCCTAAGGCTACTGGGGAGAGGACCTGGGTCTGAGGGTGATCACCAACAAAAGAGCCCAAGCAGTTGTCATTCCTCTCCCAACCCTGGGCAAATAATCCACAAATAGTTCAGAAATGGATGCTGCTGAAACATGGGCCTGGCTATCTGGATTTGAATCTTAACTTCACCTCTAATGTGTTGTGTGATCTTGAGTCTCACAAGGAAATTGAAGCTGGTAACATCTCCTTCTTACAGGGTACTGAGATGACCAGTGTAGAAGAGACCAATAAGCTACCTCACCTACTGCCTAGCACATGGTAAGTGATCAACAGTGTAGGCCTTTACCGCTATTACGAGGCTAGTCACCCAGCCTGCTTTCAGCTCCAAGACTAGGACACAGCTAGGCGAGCCCATTCTTTCCTGTTGCTTCTCCCCTGTTCTGTGGCTACCCTGCTCTACCCTCTTCTTGGGTCTCTCTGAAGTAGTGGGTCATGCTGCCAGACTCTGCCCTTTGGCGGTGCTCTTGGCATGACCCAACCTGGGTGTGGACGGTCCAGGGAAGCACATGGCTCTGGTGGTAAATGGTCCAGGAAGGCACATGGAGTCTCTGGAGTCAGACATCCTGAGTTCCAACCCTGGTGCCACCACTGAGCAAATGTCTGTTTCTGAGCCTTACTTTCCTCTCCTGTAAAACAGGAATAATTATGTTTATTTTATTATTTTATTTTATTTTATTTTAAGACAGAGTCTCACTCTGTCACCAGGCTGGAGTGCAGTGGCGCGATCTCGGATCACTGCAACCTCCACCTCCCCGGTTCAAGCAATTCTCCTGCCTCAACCTCCCGAGTAGCTGGGATTACAGGTGTGTGCCACTATGCCCAGCTAATTTTTGTATTTTTAGTAGTGGCGGGGTTTCACCATGTTGGCTAGGATGGTCTCGATCTCCTGACCTCATGATCCGCCCGCCTCGGCCTCCCAAAGTGCTGGGATTACTGGTGTGAGCCACCGCACCTGGTCTATGTTTATTTTATAAGGCTGCCATGAAGATTAAACAAAGTGGCATAGATAGAGCCACAAGCTTATGCAGGTGCTTAGTAAATGGTATCTGGTTTTTTTTTGGAACCTCTGGGAAGTGCAGCTGGGGTGTGGGGAAGGGACCCTAACTGATAGGGCCTGGGTGGCGGTGTGGCCTAGGGAAGGCCTTTCAAGACAGGGTTCCAGTGCCCTTGAGCGTGCATTTAACAAGGTTGGAGAGGGAGTCCTAGGCTGAAGGTACAGCATGAGCAAAGGCAGAGGGGCAGGAAAGAGCTTGATGAATTGGTGAATTTAAGTCATGGGATGTGTCTGGAACTGGGGTGCAGTGGCCAGGTTGCAGAGGGCCTTGCAAGCTACCACTGAGGCTGATTTTACCCAGGGGTACGTGGGGCACTAGAGAAGGGCTTATGCAGAGAATGATGTGATCAGATTTGCATTTCAGAAAGATTTTATTCTGGCTGCCCTGCGGAATCTGGACAGGAGTGGGTAGAAATGGGCACAGAGAGGGTACGGTGGCTCACACCTGTAACCCCAGCACTCTGGGAGGCCAAAGTGGGAGGATTGCTTGAGTCCAGGAGTTCAAGACCAGCCTGGGCTTCATAACAAAACCCTATCTCTACAAAAAATAAAAAATTAGCTAAACATGGTGGTGCACACCTGTAGTCCCTGCTACTCAGGAGGTGAGGTGGAAGGATCACCCGAGCCCAGGAGGTCGAGGCTACAGTGATGATTGTACCACTGCACTCCAGCCTGGGCAACAGAGTGACACCCTGTCTCAAAAAAAAAAGAAAAAGAAAAAGAAACGGAGCCTGCAAGTGACAGACCCAGGATCTAAAACGAGGTCAGGCTGCCTTTTTCCGCCACTCCAGGTGGCCCCACGAACAGCCTGGGCCTGGTGAACTTGGCTTCAACCGGCCTGGAAAGTAACCTTCCAATGAGCCCATGCTAAGGGCCACCCCAGTTCACGCTCCTGGTGGACAGGGGTGCGGCTGGCCCAACACTGCCCCCTGGTGGTTAAAAGCAGAAGTCCCCTGAGCATCGCTCAGTTTGGGCCGGGCCTCCTCCCTACCCGCACACCAAGTGTGCGGTCTGGTAGATGGACACAGATTCACGGCTTACCTCTCCCGCTTTGTGTTGTGTGATGTGATAATTCACTTCCTGCCCTGAGCCTCACTTTCCTCATCTGTAGGCTGCGGATGGTGCTTCCTGCCTCAGCTTGGGCCTGGCTCACAGTCGGTATTTGGGCATGGAGCTGGCACCATCACTTCCCACCGAGATGCACAAACGTCTGAGCAGCTTTCTCCCAATCCTGGGCCTTCCCTCCACCCCAGGAACCCAGCACCTCACTTTGTCCCACTGTGTGGCCCCCTGCCCCACACTGGCCTTCCCTGCAGGGGCCCACACGCCATCAACCCTCGTCTCCCCTACTGCAGGCTGGGGGCACCAGCGGCAGCTGACCTGGGTACTGGTTCACTGGACACAGAGGCTTTGGCCAAGGCACTGCCCCCTGCTGAGCTTCGGTTTCCTGGCCTGTAAAATGGGGCTATAATCTCTGTCTGCTTCAGGACTTAATGTGAAGCGGCTGTGCAAACTGTGGAGTGCTGTGCCATGAAGCTCTGGTGAAGACCTACTCTGAGCACCTGCCTAGACTTTCTTACAGTGGTGTCCTCCCTAGCTTGGGCTCCTTGGGCAGTGAGGTGGGCTGGGGCAGGTGAGCCTCTCCAACAGCCATTGAAACACCCGCAACCCTGGGGCCTGGGGTGGTGGCTCACGCCTGTAATTCCAACACTTTGGGAGGCCAAGGTGGGAGGACCACTTCAGGCCAGGAGTTCGAGACCAGTCTGGGCAACATAGTGAGACCCCATTTCCAAAAAAAAAAAATTAGCCAGGTGCAGTGGTGCACACCTGTGGTCCCAGCTACTCAGGATGCTGAGGCAAAAGGATGGTTTTTGCCGGAGTTCAAGGCTGCAGTGATCTATGACTGGGCCACTGCACTCCAGCCTGAGAAACAGAGTAAGACCCTATCTCAAAAAAAAAAAAAAAAAAAAAGGAAAACACGCCCATGGGTCCTTGACCTGCTGCCCTCCTCACCTGCTTCTCCCCAAAGACTGTGGGGACTTCCAGGGAGGAGATGGGCTAGGGAGAGCAGGTCCCACCTCCATTATCTGGACAGGTGAGGCCTGGGTATTTCCAATTGCCTCATTTTGAGCAAGAGTTTTGATCTGTGGCCTCCTGCCAAGATTTTGCCATTCTTTCCTGACAAACTACACGGCTGTTTTGTAACCGGCATTATAAAATGGTTTTATTAATTATTAATAACTATTTAATGTGTACACAGTTATCCATGAAGAAATAGGAAATACCAGTGAGTTGTTACCAGCGTTGCCCCAGGCTGGGAGAGCCCTTCCAGCTTTCCTTTGGCCTCTGACACCCCTGCCCCACTGACCGCCCACCCCCCATTCCTGTCTGGAAGGCTCGCCTGCCATCATCCCGCACATCCGACAGCTCTCCCTTCAGGGTCACCTCCTCCTTGGACAAAGCATACGTGACCCCTTGTCAGGTTTCTTGGCTGGGTGCTCCCCCAGAGTTTGGCTCCTGCCCCCAACCAAGCATGCATGGTGACAATGCACCCACTTGATAACTGATCACTGGTGTCACTTCCACCTCCCTCCCTCCATGAGCGCAAACCTCCGGTTAATACAGTTGGGTCAGCCCAGGGTCCTCGGTGTCCCCAGAGTCTGCCATGCCTGGTGCTGGGCAGATACTCAATAAACACCCAAAATCAGGCCGGGCTCAGTGGCTCACACCTGTGACCTCAGCACTTTGGGAAGCTGAGGCAGGGAGGATGGCTTGAGCCTAGAAGTTCAAGACCAGCCTGGGCAACATAGCAAGACCCCTGTCTCTACTTTTTTTTCTTTTTTTTTTTGAGACGGAATCTCGCTCTGTCGCCCAGGCTGGAGTGCAGTGGCGTGATCTCGCCTCACTGCAAGCTCCGCCTCCAGATTCACGTCATTCTCCTGCCTCAGCCCCTCGAGTAGCTGGGACTACAGGTGCCCGCCATCACGCCCAGCTAATTTTTTGTATTTTTAGTAGAGACAGGGTTTCACCGTGTTAGCCAGGATGGTCTCCATCTCCTGATCTCGTGATCTGCCCGCCTCGGCCTCCCAAAGTGCTGGGATTACAGGCGTGAGCCACCGCGCCCGGCCTGTCTCTACTTTTAAAAAATTAAATTAAATTAAATTAATATCAATGAGTGAATAAATGAAGAAACAAACTTTGGGCAAGCCACTGCCCCTCTCTGGGTGACTTTTTTTTTTCAGTTTTGTAAAAAAGTGACAGTGTTAAAAATTAGACATGGAGGCCAGGCATGGTGGCTCATACCTGTAATCCCAGCACTTTGGGAGGCTGAGCCAGGCAGATCACTTGAGGTCAGGGGTTTGAGATCAGCCTGGCCAACATGGTGAAACCCCATCTCTACTAAAAATACAAAAATCAGCCAGGTGTGGTGGTGCATGTCTGTAGTCCCAGCTACTCGGGAGGCTGAGGTGGGAGAATCGCTTGAACCTGGGAGGTGAATGTTGTAGTGAGCTGAGATCGCGCCACTGTACTCCAGTCTAGGCAACAGAGACTCTATCTCAGAAAAGAAAAGAAAAAAAATAATTGGAAATGGGTTGCTGAGGACATGTGCCCCTGCTCCCTGCTGAGCTCCCAGTGTGCCCCTCCCCTCCTGAATTGGTAGGAGATTCTGCTCTCACCTCTGCAGGCGATCACTGCTCACTGCAATTCAGTCACTAGTGCCTGCACCTGACCCCATTTTTGTTTGCCACCCCCGCAGCCAGCCCGTATTTGTGATCACGGCCCTGTGATCAGAGTCTCAGGAAACACTTGTGCATGGGGCAGAGCAATCCTTGCTGCCTGCAAGGAAACCAGACAAGGCTGTGCTGATGGAAAATCGGCTGTAGTTACATGGGCAAGAATCAGAGTTCAAGTCTAGGAACCCCTGGTTTTTAGGCAGAGGACATCAAGGCAGAGGATGTCAAAGCTGAAGTGAGGCATTACAATCCCCCATCATGACAACCGGTGGGCCTTGTGAAATTTAGCACAGGTCCTCCCGGCTCCAGTTGGCCACAGCCTGCCATGGAAGCCCAAGTGCCTCTGGGCACTCCAAATATCACTGCATCTGGGAAAGCAGCAGACAGCGTGGCCATGCAGTGCAACAGGGTAGTGGGGATGCCTGTCACATCTCCGATGCAGAGGCAGCCCCTGGACATGGGGATGTCCTGTGACTCTTGCCCGACAGCCCAGGCCATCTCCTTGGAGCCAGCGCAGCCATTTTTTTTTTTTTTTTTTTTTTTGCCAATCTGCTCAAACACCCAGTTGGAACAGGAATGCCTCGTGGCACTGGCTTTAGGAGTTTAATCTAGATGGTTTGCTGTTTCTAGCAGCAGAGCACCTGTTCAGACTCTACGTATATGCACCCATGAATGGTGCAGCTGCCAAGAGAACCAAAGCTAAATGTTGGCAGGATCACAGCAGGTGTGGAGGGGAGGTCACTGGGAATTCCCTGGAGACTCAGTCGTTACCCACTCAACTGGAAGGCTGAGCATGGCTTTTTCCTCTGATGGTTACCCATGCCAGGCCCCACCTCTCCATGTCCAATGTTCTTTCTTTATTTGTTTGTTTGTTTGTTTGTTTGTTTAGAGACGGAGTCTGGCTCTGTTGCCCAGGCTGGAGTGCAGTGGCACGATCTCAGCTCACTACAACCTCCGCCTCCTGGGTACAAGCGATTCTCCTGCCTCAGCCTCCTGAGTAGCTGGGATTACAGGTGCACGCCACCATGCCCGGCTAATTTTTGTATTTTTAGTAGAGACAGGGTTTCACCATGTTGCCCAGGCTGGTCCCGAACTCCTGATCTCAGGTGATCTGCCCAACTCAGCCTCCCAAACTGCTGGGATTATAGGCGTGAGCCACCACGCCCAGTCCATTTCCAATTTTCCATCCAGTGGTGGCAGAACAAACTTGGATGGGCCCCAGTGCTCTGCTGGAACCAGGACCCTCACCCAGCTGCCTCCAGCTGGGCCTGCCCACCCCTGCTGACCTCCTACATGCAGAGAACAGGGCTTCTCTGCTCTTCAGGCCTGAAGCTGTGATGTCCACAGGACCTAGGAACCACGCACACCCCCTGAAGCTGGAACACCAGGCATGGGTGAGTCCTGGGTGGCTGGATCTTGTCAAGATGGGTGAAAGGGCAGCTTCTGCAAGCAGGACCCATCCTCAGTGGACTGGATCATCTTCAGCGTTCTCATTCTCAGCCGCATTCTCTGGGAACAGGGAAAGAGGTTCCTGTCTGAATCTTCAGCATGGGCTATGCACTGGTGGCCCCTTCCTGCTTGGCCACTGTGCCAGGTGAGCCTACAATGAGATGAAATGGTGACGTGGGACAAGTGGCTCTCTGCAGCCACCTCCAGCACCACCCTGCCTGGGAAGGCAGGGGTCAGAGGGGTGGGTGTGAAGGGGTTGGAGTGCACAGGTAGAGGTGGCTGGGGTCTTCACTGTGTTGGGGAGGGTCTCATCGCCTTGAGACTCTGCAGCGTCTCCTCAGAGGCCTTGTCGGGAAGCAGCACCTCCACAGTGTAGCTGAGCTTCTTGGCATGCATCCGGCTGTAGGTGTTGTCGAAGCGCAGGACATCTGCAGTGATGGAGAGGTGATCAGGGAGCACAAACCCCGCACATCTGCAGGAAGAGCCAGCCCTGCATGGGTGCATCCCTGGAACCCTTGGGAATGAGCTGCATCCCTGGAACGTCCTGCATCCCTGGAACCCTTGGAAATGAGCTGTCCAGGACAGTGGGTGGGGCCTGAGGGCCAGCCTGTGCCCAGCCCTAAGCCCATTGCTCGCTGCCATCTCCATGGTGGCTTGCGCTACATGAAGGAATCATGATGGTCATCAGCATATAGAACAGCACACAGCCAGGGAGCAGGCGGCCTGGGAACGGGATCTCGAGCTCCACCTGCAGGGAGGAGCTGTGGCCCACGGACACAGTATGCTCGTACTGCGTCCTCGCCTAGTTGCGGTTGCACAGGTAGCTCTTGGGCCTCTCCATGAACCATGGATTCCATCACACATTATAGCCCCTGAATCCTCAAAGCAGCCCCATGTGGAAGGCAATGTCATCCTCATTTTACAGAGGAGAAAACTGAGGCTTGGAGAGGTGATATGATCTTTCAGCGGTCACAGAGCAAGGGAGGGGAGGTACTGGGATTCCTTTATCCAGATGTCCCAACCCAGGGAGGAGCCCTGCTACCCCAGGAGGAATGGGCTGGGCTACATAAGCCGCTTTCCGTCTCACAGAAGGCATGTCCTTCAATGCCAAGGTCCAACATGAACTCAGGTGTGATGAGTCGTGCAGACTTGTCTGTCTCTACTCTCCTAATGCTCCCTTTCCACAAAATGAAATAAGGTAATGTGTTGACTTAAGCATAAGCCACACCCTTCTCCTCCATAGGAAATCAACCTTGGGTTCCCCTTCTCCTAGCTCTGTTCCCAATAGATGTGGAAGGGCAGTGGTGTCCCTGAGCAATGCTACTTCTGGTAAAGCTGACTGAGCTGCATCTGGCCTGGAAGGCCTGGGGGTGAATGATAAGCACCTGGAGGAAGTCACCTCTTTGGGACTCCTGGAGTGGGGTGGTTCATGCAACTGGGTGGTCCCCTTGCCAAGACCCCTGACTCTAAGTCCATGGCCTCTTACTTACCTGTCTCTTAGTCCAGTGATCCCGGTATAGGGGCTTCTTAGGAGCTGAGCCCAAGGCCCTAGGTTCTGAATACCAGCTCTTCCCCCACAATGAATCTCTGCCCTCATACCTACAGGTAGGGGCCACTCATCTGATCCATGGCCCCAAAGCTGGCTCCCCTGGAGCTTACAGAGATCCCCCCACCCTCCCGAGAGCTGGAAAGAGAGGGCAAGCAGAGGGGAGACTGGCAGGGAAAACAATTCCAGTAAACCCCGCAGCTCTTACAGACGCCAGCCTGGAGGCAGGTGAGGCTCCCATCCTCAGGCACCATGTGGGCATTGTAGCGCTGGCTGGGCAGCACCTCCGTCATCTCCCTAGCACTCTGCTGCTCCCCCATCTTGGTCTTCAGGAAAACCCCAAAGCCGATGTCCCCACCATCTGAAGCAAACTGCCACCTGCAGTGGATAGAGCCCCATTGGCGACCCCCTGCCTGGGCTCCAGGCCCCTCCCAGATGTGCCCAGGTGTAGAGTGGCTGCCATCCCTACCTGAGCACACAGCCCGGGAACAGGATCTCGTTCTCCACCTGCAGGGAGGAGCCGCGGCCCACGGACCTCGTGTGCTCATACTGCAGCCTCACCTGCTCGCACAGGTAGTAGCTCTTGGGCACCTCACCCCCATAGTTGATCTGTGGGTGAAGGGGGTGTGTGGGCACTAGATCACAGCTTCTCCCCTCCTTCCCCATCCTCTGGGCACCCTGTACCTTGGTCAGGCACTTGGGGTTGCCATCGGGGTCAGTCATGGTCCCCCCAAACTCCACAGGCAGCTGGTCGGGGCTGATGAATTTTGTCAGCTCCTGCTTCCAGTTGTCTGCATGGGAGCAAGAGAGGGACTCCAAAGGGACTCAGGAGACTCAACAGAGGGCAGAGGGGGCTGAGCTTGGTGAGGGAACCTGATATGTCCTGGGCGTGCTCCCCCGGGCACCTACTCCTAAGAGTACCCAAGACCTTTATGTGGCTCCCAGCCCACGGTCTAGGACCCAAGGCATTGCCCGTGCGTGTGGAGGCTCACCAGGGTCAGGCCAGGGGTAGTGCCCGAGTAGAGGACGAGCCAGGGAGAAGCAGGGTCTTTAGCATTGACCTCTGCTTCCCAGGCAGATGGACACAACCAGGGGGCCACGTCGCTCACCTCCCAGAATCACAATCTTCCTGCGTGTCTCCTCACTCATGAACGACTTGACCAAGTTGAAGGCCACGGGGAACAGTTTTGGGGCTGAAACACATGTAAATCTCTTGAGAAGCTGGACCAGAAAGGACGTGGGGATACAGAGCCACAGCCAAGAGCAGGTGCTGGACAGGAGGTGGACAGATATGGATTCTGCCACTCTCTGCTGTGTGACCTTCAGCAAGTTACCCACCCTCTCCAAGTCTTAGTGCAGTTAACTGGAAAATGAAGGTGAAATAATGTATGTATAACACCTGGCACAGTTCCTGGCTTTCAATAAATGGTTGTCTCAGGCCAGGCGCAGTGGCTCATGCCTGAAATCCCAGCACTTTGGGAGGCTGAGGTAGGCAGATCACTTGAAGCCAGCAGTTCAAGACCAGCCTGGCCAACATGGTGAAACTCCGTCTCTACTAAAAATACAAAAATTAGCTGAGCGTAGTGGTGCATGCTTGTAATCCCGGCTACTCGGGTGGCAGCGGCACAAGAATTGCTTGAACCTGGGAGGCAGAGGTTGCAGTGAGCCAAGATCACGCCACTGCACTCCAGCCTGGGTGAGAGAGTGAGATTCCATCTCAAAAAAAAAAAAAAAAAAGAAAAGAAAAAAGAAAAAGAAAAATGGCTGTCTCCCCAACCCAGTTGTAAGGGATTGGGCACAAGCTGGCTCTAGGGTCAGCAATATTGATTCCCCAACAGTATCACTTCTTTTCCACACTCCAGGTTGTCTGGAATCTTCTTGGGTGTGACATCTACATGAGACTTCCTGTCCTGCCCTGAATTGCTCACACTCAACTGAGCACTGTCTGTGGGCCAAGCTCTGTGCTCCATCTTCTCCACACACTGTTTCATTTAACCTCATAGTTATCTTTGAGGAGGGGGCTATTGTATCCCCATCTTACATAATGGGAAAACTGAGGCTCAGTGAGGTTAAGTAGACTTGGATAAAATCATAGAGCTAGTTAGATTTGAACCAGATCCTCTGACTCTGGAACACATGACATCACCAGGGCAGCCAGGGACCATTCCCGCTCAAAGTGTGTCCATCCACTAGTGTGGTCCATGGACTATCTGTTCCCAGCCCACACTGACATAAGTAAGTAACAGTAAACATTTAGAAACTTATAACTTGACATTGCTGAAACATACCAGTGCATGATTTTGTATATTACAAAAATATCAGTCTGTGAAGGACTGAAACTAAAAAATAAAGCCAGAGGCCGGGTGCGGTGGCTCACATCTATAATCCCAGCACTGTGGGAGGCCGAAGTGGCTGGATGACTTGAGATCAGGAGTTCAAAACCAGCCTGGCCAACATAGGGAAACCCCATCTCTACTAAAAATACAAAAATTAGCCAGGCATGGTGGCGTGCACCTGTAATCCCAGCTACTAGGAAGGCTGAGGCAGGAGAATTGCTTGAACCCAGGAGGCGGAGGTTGCAGTGAGCCAATATCATGCCACTGCACTCCGGCCTGGGTGACAGAGGGAGACTCCATCTCAATAACTAACTAACCAGAAACCAACCACACAAAACCTGGTTCTTCACAAAGGATGGGTGAAGAAGCCTTTAACTCCATGGCTTACCTACTGTACCCCCAATTCCTGCTTCTCCCTCCCCAGGAGGTCATCCCGGTCATGGGCTTACCTCGAATAACAATTAAATTCTTCAGGGTCTCAGGATAATTTGCTTCCAGGATGCTAAAAAACTGTGGAGTCAAGATGAGTCTGGTTGGGGCTCTGTTCCATCACCTCCCGCCCATGGGTTTCTGTGGCCTCTGATGCTGCTGAGACAAGAGGCCCATCCCTGGCCCATCCTACCTTCCCCACAAGCATGTGCCTCTTCCTCTCTGTTATTCTTTTTTTGTTTGTTGATTTGTTCTCGAGACAGGGTCTCACTCTGTCTCCCAAGGTGGAGTATAGTGGCACAATCACAGGTCACTGCGACCTTGAATTCCTGGGTTCAAGAGATCCTCCCGCCTCAGCCACCCAAGTATCTAGGACTACAGGCACGTGCCACTGCACTGGGCTAATGTAAAAATTATTATTATTGTTGGTAGAGATGACATCTCACTGTGTTGCTCAGGCTGATCCTGAACTCCTGCTCAAGGAATCTTCCCACCTTGGCTTCCCAAAGTGCTGGGATGACAGGCGTGAGCCACCACGCCTGGCCTCTTTGTGTTAATCTTGCTCCCCTTTCTCCGTGGAGGGTGGTCTCTAGGCCAGCATCATTGGCTGGTCTGTGGAGCCCCTGCAAGGCATCCCCACCCCTCTATCTCACTGGATTCTCACATCAATTCACAGCTAGGGCTCACAGCTGGGAGCCACTGCCCACACCAGCCCCAAGCCAGCCACCCACCTTACCTGCTGGTAGACCTCCACAGCTGGCTTCCACAGGTGTTTCAGGCTCAGCCCCTCCATGTCAAACACCATCAGCGCCATCTCGATCTTCCTGCCCAGCTGCTTGGGACAGAGTCATATAGGTCAGACGACAGCTCCAGCCAGGAGATCCTGGCCAGAGAGACTTGGGCACCTCTCCCCACCTTCCTGCCATCCCACCCTCTGGCAGCCCACAGCGTTTTCCAGACAGATGGACAACACCTCACTTTTACGGGTGGGTAAGGGTGGGAGAAGCCCACATTCCACCAGAGCCCTGGGTGCTGAGGGCTGGGGAGGGGCAGGGTGCCACCCTTCTCTGGTCCTGGTGCCACCCTGTAGACAGATGAGGCCCAGCCCCACCCCCGCTGCTCACCTTCTGAGTTTGCAGCTCACACTCATGCAACAGCAGCTCACAGACTTTGATGCGCTTCCGGATCATATCCTGCTTGGAGGCTGACAGCAGGAGACCCTTGGGGTCGAGGGACCCAATGATGTTGAAGTACACAGGGCAGCCTTCGTAGTCGTAGCCACAAAGACCACCCGAGTCATACAGCTGGATGACCTGGAAGTGTGGGTAAGGTCCCGACTCAATCCAGCTCACCAGGCTGGGTCCCTACTCCATCAGGTGGCTGGACGTGGTAGGTGGGAGATGTCAGGGGTGAGGGGCCTCAGATGGCCTGGGGGATGCTGCTCGAGGCTCACCTCAGGGGGCTGCCATGTGACAATGTTGTCCAGGTCTTGTTGCTTCCGGAACTCCATGTGCTGCAGGAACACAGCAGGAGCTATAGGATTTTGCAGGAACCTGGGGACACCAGGCTAGGTCCCTCTGCCCACAGCCACCAAGATCCCACCACAGCATACCCAGGCTCTCAGAGCGTGGGGACAGGAGGTGGGCTGGGGGGACTTGGGTCTGATGCAGAAAGAGATCGGGGGAGGAAGAAAGAAGAAACAGGAGAATGGGACAGGGCCAGAGTCTCTACCCTTTTGCAGCAAATCCCTGGGTCACAGTGCATGGAAGGCAGGGCAGTAGGGATCACAGATCCTTACCCTTCGGAGCATGTCTTCGGATTTCTGCAGGTCAAAGTTTCGAGCTGCAAGAAGAGGAGGTAAATAGAAGCTCAAGGCTAGATCCAGAAAGAGCCCTTCCCTAAAAACTCATGAGGAAACAGCTAAGGTGTCCCCAGCCTTTTCCTGACACCCCAATAATACATTGAACATCTAGAAATGGTTGTTTGTTTGTTTGTGTGTTTATTTTTTGAGACAGAGTCTTGGTTCTGTTGCCCAGGCCAGAGTGCAGTGATGTGATCATAGCTTACTGTGGCCTCTGGCCCAGGTGATCCTCCTACCCCAGCCTCCTGAGTAGCTGAGACTACAGGGCCACACCACCATGCCTGGCTAATTTTTTTTAGATTTTTTTTTTTTGGTAGAGATAGGGATCTTGCTATGTTGCCCAGGCTGGTCTTGAACTCCTGGCCTCAAGCAGTCCTCCCACCTCAGCTTCCCAAAGTGTTGGAATTACAGGCGCGAGCCTCTGTGCCTGACCTAGAAATGTTTTTTAACAAGTTAAGGATCTTTAATCCTCTAGAAGACTGGAGAGCCCTTGATTTCAGTTTCCAGTCTTCCTACAACCTTCTGGAGGCCAATCTAGCCTGTATTTGATGTCCCTCAGGAAGCAGAGACACCCCCCCCCACCACCTGCACAGTGTTAGGGTTGGTGGGGAGCATGGGGTTTGGATTCACAGAGACTGGGGCTTAAAGTCTAGTGTTGCCCTTTTATTTCCTGTGAAACCTTGAGCAAGTCACTTACCTTCTCTGAGCCTTAGTTTTTTAATCAGTTAAATGAGAACACTATCTGTTTCAGTTATTCAAAGAACAACATGAGATAATGTATAGAAAGTGTTTGGCCCAATACCTGGCTCACAGTAGGTTCTCAATAAACAGTAGCTATCATGATTACCTATTTTGAAGAAATAGACACACTTTAATTGAAAACATGATGCTGTATTTTAGAAATGCTTTGACTGTTGCTCTCTGAGACCCCTGGCTCACTGAGGAATTTGTCCACTCCCAGAGCTGAAACAATATGCGGGGTCAGAGATTTTCAAATGGAAGGGATCTCAGATGCTATCCAGGCCTCCTCTGCTCTGATCATGAAACAGTTCCAGAAATCACTCCCGGCCAGGCGTGGTGGCTCACGCCTGTAATTCCAGCACTTTGGGAGACCAAGGCGGGCAGATCACTTGAGGTCAGGAGTTCAAGACCAGCCTGGGCAATATGGTGAAACCCCGTCTCTACTAAAAATACAAAAATCAGCTGGGCATGGCGGCAGGTGCCTGTAATCCCAGCTACTCAGGAGGCTGAGGCAGGAGAATTGCTTGAACCCAGGAGGCAGAGGTTGCAGTGAGCCGAGATCGCATCATTGCACTCCAGCCTGGGGGACAACAGCAAGACTTCATCTCAAACAACAACAACAACAACAACAACAAACACAAAACTTAGCTAGGCGTGGTGGTGCACACCTGTAGTCCCAGCTACTCGGGAGGCTGAGGCACAAGAATCACTTGAACCCAGGAGAAGGAAGCTGCAGTAAGCCAAGATCGCACTACTGCACTCCAGCCTGGGTGACTGAGTGAGACCCTGTCTGAAAAAAAAAAAAAAAGAAAGAACCCCCAATGCAACAGCTCAGCCTTGATTATCTCCCATGATGGAGAGTTCATTACCACAGAAGACATTACCATTCCATTCCTCAGCAGCTTTGACTGAACCCAAATCTGACCTGTGATGATTCCAGCCCCATCATCAGAGGTCAAACAAATACATGTTATCTCTTGTCAATGTGGCAATTCTGCAAATATTTGAAGACAAGCCACCAAGTTCACCTATGCGATCTTTGCTCTGGGCTATATATTTATTAAAATCATCTTCTGTGTCAATTCTGTCAAAGAGAACGTTCTGTGATGATGGAAATGTCCTATACCTGAGCTGCTCATTATGGTAGCCGCTAGCTGCCTGAGGCTACGGAGCAATAGAAACGTGGCAAGTGTGATTGAGGACCTGGAGTTTTAATTTAATTTAATCGTTACAGTTATATGTGGCTACAGGTGATCAAACTGAACAGGGCAGTTCTATATACTTCAGAGATTTTAAGATTTTTGCTGTACAGGTCTTGTGTGTTCTAGGTTAAACTCCTGGGTATTTTATGGGCTTTGTTGCTGTTTTGAATGGTATCTGACTTTTCATTATCTTTTTTTTTTTTTTTTTTTTTTTGAGACAGAGTCTTACTCTGTCACCCAGGCTGGAGTGCAGATCTCAGCTCACTGCAACCTCCACCTCCCAGGTCCAGGCAATTCTCATGCCTCAGCCTCCTGAGTAGCTGGGACTACAGGCATGCACCGCCATGCCTGGCTAATTTTTGTATTTTTATTAGCCAGGTTGGTCTTGAACTCCTAACTTCAAGCGATCTGCCTGCCTTGGCCTCCCAAAGTGCTGGGATTACAGGTGTGAGCCACCATGCCCTGCCCGCTACTGATTTTTATATCTGGCAATATTGCTGAATTTTCTCTTGAGTTCTAGAGGTTTTCTGTTGATCCAGTTGGTTTTCAAGGGAGACAAGCAATTTCTCTGCAAATATTTTAACTCTTTCCTTCTAGTCTTTCTACCAATTGATATTTTTTCTTTCCATGTAACATTGGCAAAGGTCTCCAGTTCTACATTTAAACAGTAATGTTGATTGATTGATTCTTTCCTTGTTCCTGATCTTAAAGAAAATGCATCTAAAATCCTCTAATAAGTGTTAACATTTGTCAGAGGATTTTTGCTACGTAACCATTACCAAGTCAAGGAAACTCCTTTCTATCCCTAGATTGGTAAGACTTTCATTTTGTCTTATAAGTAGGATTTGAACCTTTTCAAATGCTCTATCTGCATTAATTGAGATAGCCACATAATTTCTCATTTCTAGCACTCATTAATGTTTTCAATGACACCGATAGATATTCTGTTGTTGAACTATTCTTGCACACCTAAGATAAACTTCCCTTGGTCACGCTGCATAATTATTATTATTATTATTATTTTTTTGATGGAGTCTCGCTCTGTCGCCCAGGCTGGAGTGCAGTGGCGCGATCTCGGCTCACTGCAAGCTCCGCCTCCCGGGTTCACGCCATTCTCCTGCCTCAGCCTCCTGAGTAGCTGAGACTACAGGCACCCGCCACCACGCCCAGCTAATTTTTTTTTGTATTTTTACTAGAGACGGGGTTTCACCATGTTAGCCAGGATGGTCTTGATCTCCTGAGCCACCGCGCCCGGCCAGTCATGCTGCATAATTTTAATGCCTTATTGGATTCTACTACATAATATTGATTTAGACTACTATTTTTTTTTTAACTGATGGGGTTTCACCATGTTGGCCAGGCTGGTCTGGAACTCCTGACCTCAGGTGATCCGCCTGCTTCGGCCTCCCAAAGTGCTGGGATTACAGGTGTGAGCCACCGCACCTGGCCTGATTTAGACTTCTTTATATCTACATTCATAAGTAAAATAGGCTGAGAATTTTCTTTTTTAAAAAATTGTATTAGCTGGGCGCAGTGGCTCCTGCCTGTAATCCCAGCACTTTCGGAGGCCAAGGCAGGCAGATCACTTGAGGTCAGGAGTTCGAGACCAGCTTGGCCAACATGGTGAAACCCTGTCTCTACTAAAAATACAAAAAATTAGCTGAGTGTGGTGGCTCATGCCTGTAATCCCAGCTAGTCAGGAGGCTGAGGCACGAGAATCACTTGAACCTGGGAGGTGGAGGTTGCAGTGAGCCAAACTTGTACCACTGCACTCCATCCTTGGCAATGAAGCAAGATTCTGTCTCAAAAAAATGATAATAATAAAATGAAATAAAAAATTGTACTGATCTAGCTTTGAAATCAAACTTACTCAAACCTTATAAGGTAACTTTCACTCTCTCATAGGTTCTTAAAGAATTCGTATGAGCTAGAAATTAACTGTTTTTTTTTTTTTGAGACAGAGTCTCTCTCTGTTTCCCAGCCTGGAGTGTGATGGTACAATCTTGGCTCACTGCAACGTCTGCCTCCTGGGTTCAAGCGATTCTCCTGCCTCAGCCTCCCAAGTAGCCAGGATTGCAGTTGCCCACCACCATGCCTGGCTAATTTTTGTATTTTTAGTAGACACAGGGTTTCTCCATGTTGGTCAGGCTTTTCTCGAACTCCCGACCTCAGGTGATCCGCCCACCTCGGCCTCCCAAAGTGCTGGGATTACAGACATGAGCCACCGCGCCCGGCCAACTGGTATTAAAACTCTGGCGGAATTCATCTGTAGAACCACTGGAGTCTGAGTTTTGGGGGAGGGGAAGTTTTTGCTGCCATTTCAATTTCTCTAATATTTATTGGTCTGATGACGTTTTCTATTTCTTCTTGCTGGATTTTGGTCTTATATATTATTTTCTAGAAATGTGTCTTCCTTCACTTGGATTTTCAAATTTATTAGTGCATATTTGTTCATAATCTTCTCTTATAGGCTTAAAAAAGATTCAGTTTATAGGTGATTTTCTGTTGTGTTGTTTGTTTGCTTTTTGAGACAAGCCATCCTCCTACCTCAGCCTCCCGAATAGCTGGAACTACAAGCATGCACCAACACACCCGGCTTATTTTTGAATTTTTTGTAGAGATATGGTTTCGTCATGTTGCCCAGGCTGGTCTTGAACTCCTGGGTCAAGCAATCCTCCTGCCTCAGCCTCCCAAAGTGCCAGGATTACAGGAGTGAGCCACTGTGCCCAGCTATAGGAGATTTTTCAGTTAGGAACCAGAATGTGGTTTCTTATCCTATAAACAGTGGTTTGGGCAATGCTCATGGGATATGAGAACAGAATTTTTTTTTTTTTTTTTTTTTTTTTTTTTAGTAACACCTACTATGCGCCAGGCTGAGGGGACCAGGGCAGGCACATCCCTGCCCTGATGGAACTGGCATCAGATGAAACTAATGGAACCGACAGACAGATGTGGGATGAAGTTAAGGAAAAACAGAGGGGGTCAGGCAGAGTGGCTCATACCTGTAATCCCCGCACTTTGAGAGGCCGAGGCGGGAGGATCATTTTGGGTCCAGGAGTTCGAGACCAGCCTGGGCAATGTAGTGAGACCCTGTGACCCTGTGTCTACAAAAAATAAAAATAAAAATAAATAAAAACAAAGGAAAAGAACTTCAGAAGGAGGGTTGGGAAAAGCCCCTCAGCATGAGGCCCGGGAGAGGGTCCTCTACCAAGCTCAGCCTCAGCAGTAGCCCTCCCCTTTGCCTGGGTCTTGGGTTAGTGAGGCCGGGACTAGCGGAGCTGACGCTGAAGTGGACGACGGGGCCATGCCAGCAGGTCCCATCACCCATGGCATGAGGTGGGAGGCATCAGGACACCCAGCCCCCTTCCCAATCTTGGATCCTTTTTCTTTCCTATGACCTGGAAGCCTAGGTATCTGCAATCTCACTCCTTTATCAAGGGCACACCAAGCACCCCAAAAGCTGGGTTTTAAACCCAAAAAGATACTAAAGGAAGAGAGAGAGCTGATGCTGTATCAAGGGGCTTCAAGAAATCAACTGTCCCAACTCCTTCTTTGGTCCAGGCTGGGGGCAATGACATATTTCCTTGTCAAAAACAAATAGAAAGTGCCACAGCCAAGGGGGCTTAAGGAGGGCAAGATGACTAAATATAATGTGGGATCCTGGATGGGATCCTGGAAGAGAAAAATGAAGGAAATCCAAATAATATACGGACTGTAGTTAATAATAATGTATCCATATTGGTTTATTAATTCTAACAAATGTACCATCATCATCATAAGAAGAAGATGTTAATAATAAGGAAAACTAGGTGCAGAGTATGTGGGAACTTTTTGCACTATATTTGCAATTTTCTGAAAATCTAAAACTATTCTAAAAATTAAAGTTTTTATATATATATACACACACACGCACATATATATATATATATATATATATATATACATACACATACTTTTTTTTTTAAGACAGAGTCTTGCTTTGTTGTGCAGTGGCATGATCTCCGCTCACTGCAACCTCCGCCTCCTGGGTTCAAGTGATTCTCGTGCCTCAGCCTCCTGAGTAGCTGGAACTACAGGCACGTGCCACCACACCCAGCTAATTTTTGTATTTTTGTAGAAATGGGGTTTCACTATGTTGGCCAGGCTGGTCTCGAACTCCTGGCCTCAAGTGATCTGCCCGCCTCGGCCTCCCAAAGTGCTGGGATTACAAGCGTGAACCACAGGGCCTGGCCAAAATATTGAAAAAAAACAAAAAAACAAAAACAGACAGAACAAATCAGAGGAAGAATTAGTCCCTGGTAGGGACTTCCTTTTCTCAGGTACTGTGTGCATCTGCGACCTCATTTGACTCACAGCGCCCTGAAGGTAGGGACCAGTATTATGCCCATTACACAGAAGAGGAAAGTGAGGTTGGGACAATGACTGGCTTGCCACAGGCACATGCTAGCACTGGAACTCAGTCACAGCTCTGCCCAATTCCAAAGCCAGCGTTTTAAACCCTGCACTGTATGTATGCTTTCCGGGCTGACTCCTGACTTCTCACTCATCTCAAGTTCAAAATCCATTCCATGAGGTGTAATGAGTTAAGATGAATTTTTCCCTAAGCTCTGGGGCAGTGTCTGTTATTATTATTTTGAGATGGGGTTTCACTCTGTCGCCTAGGCTGGAGTGCAGTGGTACAATCTCAGCTCACTGCATCCTCCACCTCCCAGGCTCAAGTGATCCTCTCACCTCAGCCTCCTGAGTAGCTGGGATTACAGGTGCTCGGCAGCTCACCCGGCTAATTTTTGTATTTTTTGTAGAGATGAGGTTTCGCCATGTTGCCCAGGCTGGTCTTGAACTCCTGAGCTCAAGAAATCTGCCTGCCTCAGCCTCCCAAAGCACTGGGACTATAAGTGTGAGCCATCGCATCTGGCTTGTTATTATTTTTTTAGACTGCTGCTGTAATTCCTAGAAGAAACTGCTTCTCTAGCATTCGCTAAATCCACTTCCTTAAGTGTTTGCTGGGCACCTGCTCAGTGCACTAGGGCACCTCGGTTCCTTTAGGGGACAACAGAGCCCTGTCCTCGGGGAACTGGAGGTACACCCAAAGGCAAGTACTGAAAACAGTGCTCTGCAACATCTGCCCCAAGGGCTGGCCAGGCCAGAGGCCTGAGGATGTCCTGGCTGTTAACTGTAACCTCACCTGGACTCTGTGCCCACCTGTTGCCTCATCCTTGCTTGACAGATGAAGAAACTGAGGCTCAGTGGGGTTTTGTGCTGTGCTCATACACAGGGGAGCTCAGATTCTAGTCAGAGCAGGCTGATTCCAGACCCTGTGTTTTTTGTTTTTTTGTTTTTTTTTTTTTGAGACGGAGCTTCACTCTTGATGCCCAGGCTGGAGTGCAATGGCGGGATCTCGGCTTACCGCAACCTCTGCCTCCCGGGTTCAAGCGATTCTCCTGCCTCAGCCTCCTGAGTAGCTGAGATTACAGGCATGTGCCACCAAGCCAGCTAATTTTGTATTTTTAGTAGAGACAGGGTTTCCCCATGTTGGTCAGGCTGGTCTCGAACTCCCGACCTCAGGTGATCTGCCTGCCTCGGCCTCCCAAAGTGCTGGGATTACAGGTGTGAGCCACCGGGCCCGGCAAGCCTGTGTTCTTTACTACCCTACAGCTCCATTCCCTCAAAGTCTCCCACTCCTCTCCTGAGACCCTCCTTCCTTCCCTCCCTTTCTGCGTCCCCTGACCCCTGCAAGCCTCACCTCGCAGCCAGCGCAGGAGGAAGTAGTCATCAGCATTGGGCAGTATGGGCAGCAGGTCCTGGAGGTTCTCCCGGAACTGAGCGGAGGAGGATCTGATGGTCGGCGGAGCTCTCATGACCTCGGGGGCCACCAACCCCGCCCCTAACCCTTCCCACATCATCCACCAGTCAACTCCACCAGAAGACCATGCAGGGTGCTGCCCTGAACGACTTTGCCATCTGAAAATAGGGCACCCTCCAGCCCAACATAGGAAAAAGAGTTGGGTCCTTCCCAAAATTTGGGAGTGCCCTACACACTGGACTCCCATTCTACATGTCTAAGGTGGGGCCCTGGCATCCTTATTTTTAATTTTTATTTTATTATTATTTTTATATTATTATTATTATTATTATTATTATTGAAACAGGATCTCACTCTATCGCCCAAGCTGGAGCGTAGTTGCGTGATCTTGGCTCACTGCAACCCGTGCCTCCCGGGTTCAATAGATCCTCCCAGCTCAGACTCCCAAGTAGCTGGGACCACAGGCACACAAGATGCCCAGCTAATTTTTGTACTTTTTGTAGAGATGGGATCTTGCTATGTTGCCCAGGCTGGTCTCAAACTCCTTGGCTCAAACAATCCACCCGCCTTAGTATCCCAAAGTGCTGGGATCACAGGCGTGAGCCACCATGCCCGACTGACAGCCTTATTTCTACAAGGATCCCTGGGAGAGTCTGATGCAGGCCAGCTAGGCGGTTTTAGGAATGTTGTC
This sequence comes from Homo sapiens, assembly GCF_000001405.40. NCBI lineage: Eukaryota > Metazoa > Chordata > Mammalia > Primates > Hominidae > Homo > Homo sapiens. The sequence goes on from NC_000022.11 coordinate 30,504,428, forward strand.
CCTGATACTGCATCTTGAGGGTTTAGATTTAGAGGCAAGTTACCAAACCTCTCTAAGCCTCAGTTTCCTTATCTCTGAAATGGGGATAAAAATAAACTTGTACCAATCAAAGGAGTCTGTGCACGTAAAACACTTAGCAGGCTTGGCTCCGAGCAGGTGTCAGATATATGTGAGCACTCAGCCAGCGTGGACTGCCTGATGCCCCGGACAATGGAGGCTTTGTGGAAAAAAAACAGAGGCAGAGGTCAACAGACAGGGGCTGAAAGAGAAGCCAGGAATGCCTTATCAGGGCATCTGTTGCGTCTGAGAGAGAGGAGATCTCACTTCCCTGGGGACCAACAGAGCTGAAGGCAAAGGCTGGGTTTGAAGGTGAATCTGTGAATCCAAATTTGGGATTAGAAATATGAGGCCGGGCGCAGTGGCTCACACCTGTAATCCCAGCACTTTGGGAGGCCAAGGCGGATGGATCACAAGGTCAGGAGTTCGAGACCAGCCTGTCCAAGAGACCTGCCTGGCCAATATGGTGAAACCCCGTCTCTACTAAAAATACAAAAATTAGTCGGGTGTGGTGGCGGGCACCTGTAGCCCCAGCTACTTGGGAGGCTGAGGCAGGAGAATCGCTTGAACTCAGGAGGTGGAGGTTGCAGTGAACCGAGATTGCGCCATTACACTCCAGCCTGGACGACAGAGCAAGACTCCATCTCAAAAAAAAAAAAAAAAAAGATTACAGAGAAGCTTGGGCCCTAAGAACAAATCACAAAGAGAAGCCAAACAAACAAATGTTGCAACCTGGACATGAAAAGCAGTCTGTCTACCCAAGGCTGCCCCCGCAGCCGGATGGCAGCGCCACTCCCTCCCCCACAACCGGGGAACAAGGACCAGGGCCGGGTGGTGGAGAGCACGCAAGGTCAGAAGACTGGATTCGGCTCCTGGTCACGCAGAGATGGGCCCCTGTCCCGCGTGCTGCACGTAGCCGCCTCAACAACCGCACGCTGGACCAGAGGGCAGAACAGAGGCGCTCTCTCCAGGCTCGGTGTTCCAGTCTGTACCATGGGGGCTCCAGCCGGGTTGGGCAGTGCCAGGCTGCTCAGGGCCCCTCCTCAAGCCTCCCAGCCCGCGATGCTCCTCACCCTGGCCAGCGCTTCCTGCTGCTGGGGGCTCAGGTCCCCGACTCGGCTGCTCATGGTGCCCGCGGGCGCAGAAAGGCTCAGGGCGCAGGTCCGCCCGCCCGCCGCCGCCTGGCCTTGTATCCGCTGCCGCCTGGTTGTGCCTCCTGGGCCAGATGTTGGTCCCGCCCCGACGGGAGAGGCACTGGGCCTGCCCCGCCCCGCCCAGTTCTCTCCTCCTCTCCAGGATTTTTTGCTGCGGTCACCAAGCGCACCCTACTTGGGACAGGGAGGTGACCTGCCGGGAGAGTGGCCTGGGGCAGCTGGAGGCAGCCACCTCCAGGCCTCCTTACTGCGGGGGCTCCCGCCTGTTCGCAGGTGGCAGGAAAGGGAATACACTGAGATCCTCTTTCCAGCAAAATGGAGGAAATTTTTTTTTAAATGTTTTTTTTTTTTTGGGCCAGGCGCGGTGGCTCACGCCTGTAATCCCAGCACTTTGGGAGGCCGAGGCGGGCGGATCACGAGGTCAGGAGGAGATCGAGACCATCCTGGCTAACATGGTGAAAACCCGTCTCTACTGAAAATACAAAAAATTAGCTGGGCGTGGTGGCGGGCGCCTGTAGTCCCAGCTACTCGGGAGGCTGAGGCAGGAGAATGGCGTGAACCCGGGAAGCGGAGCTTGCAGTGAGCCGAGATCGCGCCACTGCACTCCAGCCTGGGTGACAGAGTGAGACTCCGTCTCAAAAAAAAAAAAAATTTTTTTTTTCTTTTTCTTATTTTGAATAAAATAGAGACCGGGTTTTGCTATGCTGACCAGGCTGGTCTGGACCTCCTGGCCTCAAGCAATCCTCCAACCTCCGCCACCCAAAGTGCTGGGATTAGGGATGTGAACCACCATACCTGGCCAACATGGAGGAATTTTTAATAAACCTGGCTCAACCCTCTAGGACCCCCAGGGCTTTTGTCTAATGACCCCCAAGCTCCTTCCCCTGACCTTGAACACAGCCTGGGACCTGTCAGTGCTCACTGACTGATAGGACAGCCTCATGTGCAAAATGGTTCCTGCCCTCAAGATGGTTGGAAGGATAAGAGGACGCACCCTGGGTCAGCAGAATGTCTGGCGTTGCCTGCTCAGTAAGTGCTGGCTGGTAGGAATATATTTCAGAATTGTGTTATTACTGAGGCTGTCACCAGAGCTGGGAGCTGCAGGGGTGGAGATCCTAGGGTGTCCCAAGTGCGGAGCTCCTGGGTGAGAGCCACAGTCTGAAGGTGGAGGCATGCAAGGTGCCAGCCGTGGACCAATGGAAGCCCTGGGCAGAGTGACAGAGTGGGCGGAGAGCCAAAAGGCCACTCTGGCTGACACAAGAGAGCCAGGCGGAGATCACTAGGAAAAGCAAGAAAAAAGTTCAGCCAGGCGCGGTGGCTCATGCTTGCAATCCTGGCACCTGGCACTTTGGGAGGCCAAGGCAGGCGGATCACTTGAGGTCAGGAGTTTGAGACCATCCTGGCCAACATGGTGAAACCCTGTCTCTACTAAAAATACAAAAATTAGCTGGGTGTGGTCGTCCACGCCTGTAGTTCCAGCTACTCAGGAGGCTGAGGCACAAGAATTGCTTGAACCTGGGAGGTTGAGGGTGCAATGAGCCAAGATGGCACCACTGCATTCCAGCCTGGGCGACAGAGCCAGATTCTGTCTCAAAAAAAGAAAACAGAAGTTGGCTGGGTGTGAATTTTCAAGAGAGGAGTAGAGGGGACGTGAAGATGAAGGAGAGAGTAAAACAGGCCACAAGACCCTGTTCCCTCTGTCCTCCCATGGAATCAAACCAAGCTCTAGTCCCGAAAGGACTAACCCAGTGGCCGTGAGCCACAGAGGCTTTTGAGCCCAGACAACGTGGCTTGTCATAACAAGCATAGAGACATGCTGTAATTGTAAAATACAAACCAAGTTTTGATGGCTTAGTACCAGAAAAAGTAAAATGTTTCATTAACTAATTTTATTTATTTATGTACTGAGACAGCATCTCACTCTGTCACCCAGGTTGGAGTGCAGTGGTGCAATCATGGCTCACTGCAGCCTTGACCTCACGGGCTCAAGTGATCCTCCCACCTCAGCCTCCTGAGTAGCTGGGACTACATTCTCACCCCACCACACCCGGCTAATTTATTTTTATTTTTATTTTTATTTTTTTATAGACACAGGGTTTTGCTATGTTAGCCAGGCTGGTCTCAAACTCCTGAGCTCAAGCCATCCATCTGCTTCAGCCTCCCAAATTGCTGGTATTACAAGCGTGTGCCACTGCTCCTAGCCTCATTAATTAATTTTATATAAATGATTATATATTAAGTGATATTTTTGAATATAATAGGACAATAAAATATGTTATTAATATTACTTTCACCTGTTTCTTTTGATGTTTTAATAATTTTGAATTATTTATAATGATAATTTTTTTTCTTTTTTTAAGACAGGGTCTCAATGTGTCACCCAGGCTGGAGTGCAGTGGCAAAATCTCCGCTCACTGCAAGCTCCACCGCCCCCCACCCCTGAAGCTCAAGCAGTGCTCCCACCTCAGCCTCCCCAGTAGCAGGGACTGCAGATGTGCATCTCCACATCCGGCTAATTTTTGTATTTTTTTGAAGAAAAATACAAAACATGGTTTTGCCATGCTGCCTAGGCTGGTCTCAAACTCCCGAGCTCAAGCGATCCTCCCGCCTCAGCCTCCCAAAGTCCTGGGATTATAGGCATGAGCCACAGTGCCCAGCTAAATTGTTATTTTTTAGGACAGTTTTAAGTTCACATCAAAACTGGGCAGAAAGTACAGAGTTCCCACATATCTGCTGTCCCCATACACACACAACCTCTGGTTCCAGAGATATCCATTTGCTGAAATTGATGAGCCTACACTGACACGCTAATATCACCCAAAGTTCCTAGTTTACATTAGGGCTCATTCTTGGTGTTGGATATTCTATGGGTTTTGACAAATGTATAATGACATGTGTCCACCATTGTGGTATCACGCAGAATAGTTTCACTGCCCTAAAAATCCTCTGTGCTCCTACCTATCCTTTTTACTTAAAAAAAAAAAAAATGTAGCCACTGGGGCTGGGCGTGGTGGCTCACGTCTGTAATCCCAGCACTTTGGGAGGCTAAGGCGGGTGGATCACCTGAGGTCAGGAGTTTGAGACCAGCCTGGCCAACACGGCGAAACCCTGTCTCTACTAAAACTACAAAGATTACCTGGGCATGGTGGTGCACGTCTGTAATCCCAGCTACTCGGGAGGCTGAGGTAGGAGAATCACTGAACCCGGGAGGCGGAGGTTCCGGTGATCTGAGATTGCGCCATCACATTCTAGCCTGGGAGACAGAGCAAGACTCCATCTCAAAAAAAAAAAAGTAGCCACTGGAAAGATTTAAAATTACACGTATGGGCTGGGCATGGTGGCTCACACCTGTAATCCCAGCACTTTGAGAGGCTGAGGTGGGCGGATCGCTTGAGCCCAGCAGTTTGAGACCAGCCTGGGTAACATAGTAAAACCCCGTCTCTACTAAAAACACAAAAATTTGCCAGGCATGATGCTGTGCGCATGTAATCCCAGCTACTCAGGAGGCTGAGACAGGAGAATCACTTGAACCCAGGAGGCAGAGACGGGGGTTGCAGTGAGCTGAGATCATGCCACTGCACTCCAGCCTGGGTGACAGAGTGAGATTCGGTCTCAAAAAATAATAATAATAATAAATAAAATAAAATTACATTTATGGATCACATTTATGACTTGCATTATATTTAATTTGAACATTGTTTGCCCTATAGAGATTTAAAATATGTTTTTAGAAAAAGAAAGTAAATCATAAAAAATGCTAAAAGAAAGTAAAAGTGACACCACATCTCTGGAAGGGCATGGTCTGTGTTTAAAAACAATGACAGAATCACAAAGGGAAAATGAATTGATTTGACTACAAAATACAAAAATCTATTAAACAAGAAACAGAATTAAGACATTTATCAGAGTCGGGCGCTGTGGCTCACGCTTGTAATCCCAAACTTTGGGAGACTGAGGCGGGCGGATCAGGAGATCAGGAGTTCAAGACCAGCCTGGCCAACACAGTGAAACCCCGTCTCTACGAAAAATACAAAAATCAGCTGCGCATGGTGGTAGGTGCCTATAATCCCAGCTACTCGGGAGGCTGAGACAGGAGAATCACTTGAACCTGGGAGGCAGAGGTTGCAGTGAGCTGAGATCATGCCACTGCACTCCAGCCTGGACGACAGAGCTAGACTCCATCTCAAAAAAAAAAAAAAAAAGACATTTGTCAGTATTTGCTGATGGAAATTTGGGAAAAATAAAATGTACAAAAATTCAAGTTGATAAGAAAAATAGGAAGGCCCTAAGAAATAAATGGGCAAAGGATTCAAAGCACCAATTCTTAGGAATGAAAATGCTCAGGGTGTATTTATCAAGTGGATGAATGCCCAATCTCCAGAGTCATCAATGAAATGTGTATTCAAGTAATGAGATGCATTTTTCTCTGAAAAATCAGCAAAAACAAACAACACACACACACAGACACACACACACCTTTTAAGAAAAAACTACAAAATTAGCTGGGTGTGGTGGGGTGAGACTGTAGTCCCAGCTACTCAGATAATAGGCCAGGCACAGTGGCTAACACTTGTGATCCCAGTACTTTGGGAAGATCTCTTGAAGCCAAGAGTTCGAGACCAGTCCAGGCAACATAGTGGGACCTCGTCTCTACAAAAAATTAAAAAACTAGCCAGGCGTGGTGGCATGCTCCTGTAGTCCCAGCTACTTGGGAGGCTGAGGAGGGAGGATCACTTGAGCCCAGAAGGTGGAGGCTGCAGTGAGCTATGATTGTGACACTGCACTCCAGTCTGAGTGACAGAGGGAGACCCTGTCACAAAAAGAAAGAAAATAATAAAGTCAGTTAGAAGTTGGTGAAATGGAGACATTAATACATTGATGGCAGGAATATAAACGAATTCAGCTTTTCTGGAAAACCACTTGACCATACACTTCAGAATCCTGAAATATTTTCCCACTTTGCCCAGTGATAATCCTAACAAAAAATATTTTAAGCTTAAAGTTGTTTGTGTGTTGTTAACAGGAAGATTGGAGACAATTTTAAAGTAAGCTATGGTGCTTAATGTAGTTGATGGAAGGGTTTATAACAACAGTTTGGGAAAGACAGGACCACATAATGCATGCTTTATGCTTCTGGAACATAAAACAAAAACTACTCAGTAAAAGAAAAACTGGATAAGAAAAGAAATTTGGGGCTGGGCCCAGTGGCTCATGCTTGTAATCCCAACACTTTGGGAGGCTGAGGTAGGTGGATTGCTTGAGCCCAGGTGTTGGAAAACAGCCTGGGCAACAAAATGAGACCCCGTCTCTGCAGAAAATCAAAAAATTAGCCAGGTGTGGTGGCACGCACCAGTGGTCCCAGCTACACCAGAGGCTGAGGCAGGAGGATTGCCTGAGCCAGGGAGATCGAGGCTAAAGTGAGCCATGTTTATGCCACTGAACTCCGGCTTTGGCAACAGAGAGGAGATCTTTTCTCAAAAAAAAAAAAAAAAATCTGTTTTAAATAAATTTGCCCCAACTTTTCCCAGTTTCTGAGGAGTGGGAAAAGCCATATTTTGAAATACCAGAGGTAACAAATCACCTCCCAAGAGAAGCTTTTATTTAACTATCACTTACAGGTACTTTCTACTTACCAGGCTGGCTCTAAGGGTTTGTAAATATTATGATAGCTCAGGGCTGTCCAGTGGAAAAATAATACAAGCCACACGGATAACTTTCAATCCTCCAGAGCTGTGTAAAAACTCATTCTAAGCGCCGCACGTGGTGGCTCATGCCTGTAATCCCAACACTCTGGGGGGCCGAGGCAGGCGGATCACAAGGTCAGGGGATCGATCTTGGCCAATATGGTGAAAAATTAGCCGGGCGTGGTAGCACACGCCTGTAGTCCCAGCTACTCTGGAGGCTGAGGCAAGCGAATCACTTGAACCCAGGAGGCAGAGGTTGCAGTGAACCAAGATCGTGCCACTGCACTCCAGCCTGGGTGACAAGAGCAAAACTCCGTCTCAAAAAAAAAAAAATTTATTCTAAGCAGACAGCGGTGGCTTGCACTTGTAATCTCAGTTGCTTGGGAGGCTAAGGTGGGAGGATCACTTGAGGCCAGGAGTTTAAGACCAGCCTAGGCAACAAAGCAAGACCTTGTCTCTAAAAAAACATTTAAAAAAAATTAGCCAGAAAAAATATTCCGGGCATGGTGACATGAACCTGTGGTCCTAGCTACCTGGGAGGCTAAGGCAAGAGGATTGCTTGAGCCCAAGAGTTTAAGTTCGCAGTGAGCTATGATCAGACCGAGAGGTGAAGCCAGCTGAATTTCTGGGTCAGGTAGGGACTTGGAGAACTGTTCTGTCCTATAAGAGGATTGTAAAATGCACCAATCAGCACTCTGTGGCTTGCTAGAGGTTTGTAAAATATGCCAATCAGTGCTCTGTAAAAACGCACCAATCAGCGCTCTGTGGCTAGCTAGAGGTTTGTAAAATGGACCAATCAACGCTCTGTAAAATGGACCAATTGGCACTCAGTAAAATGGACCAATCAGCAGGATGTGGGCGGGGACAAACAAGGGAATAAAAGATGGCCACCCCCTCCCACCCTATCCACACCACCCGCCAGCCAGCAGCGGGAACTTGCTTGGGTCTCCTTCCACAGTGCAGTATCTTTGTTCTTTTGCTCTTCACAGTAAATGTTGCTGCTGCTCACTCTTTGGGTCTCTGCCACTTTTAAGAGCTGTAACACTCACCGTGAAGGTCCACAGCTTCATTCTTGAAGTTAGCCAGACCACGAACCCACTGGAAGGAACAAACTCTGGACACAAGACCACTGCATGCCAGCCTCAGCAGCAGAGAGATCCCATCTGAAAACAAAAACATTATTTTAATAACATATCTGGCTGGGTGCAGTGGCTCACGCCTGTAATCCCAGCACTTTGGGAAGCCAAGGCAGGGGGATTATCTGAAGTCAGGAGCTCAAGACCAGCCTGGCCAACATGGTGAAACCCAGTCTCTACAAAAATACAAAAATTAGTTGGGCATGATAGTGGGTACCTATAATCCCAGCTACTTGGGAGGCTGAGGCAGGAGAATTTCTTCAATCCGGGAAGCAGAGGTTGCAGTGAGCTGAGATCACACCATTACACTCCAGTCTGGGCAACAGAGAGACACTTCGTCTCAAAACAAAACAAAAAATAATACATCCAAAATATCATTTTAATGTGATAAATATGGCCGGGCGCGGTGGCTCACGCCTGTAATCCCAGCACTTTGGGAGGCCGAGGCGGGTGGATCACGAGGTCAGGAGATCGAGACCATCCCGGCTAAAACGGTGAAACCCCGTCTCTACTAAAAATACAAAAAATTAGCCGGGCGTAGTGGCGGGCGCCTGTAGTCCCAGCTACTTGGGAGGCTGAGGCAGGAGAATGGCGTGAACCCGGGAGGCGGAGCTTGCAGTGAGCCGAGATCCCGCCACTGCACTCCAGCCTGGGCGACAGAGCGAGACTCCGTCTCAAAAAAAAAAAAAAAAAAAAAATGTGATAAATATGATTAACAAATTAGATAAGTTAATTACCTCAATAATTAATAGTGAGATATGTTGCATTAATTTTTGTACTAAATCTTTAAAATGCTGTGCGTATTTAATACAGCACATTTTCATTGTAACTAGCTATATTTTGAGTGCATATTCAATAAGCCACATATATCCCCTACCAAATTCATGTTGAAGTCCTAGTCCCTGGTACTTTAGAACGTGACCTTACTTGGAAACAGGTCATTGCAGATGTAATTAGCGGTCGTATGGGAGTAGAGTGGGCCTCTAGTCCAGTATGTCCTTATAAATGGTGCCATTTGGATGCACATGGGGAGACACGCACATAGGGAGAACATCATGTGAAGATGAAAACAGATTGTGGAGTGATGCATCTATAATACAAGTCAAGGGGCGCCAAAGATTACTGGCCAACCATCAGAAGCTAGAGGAGAGGTGGTAAACGGAGTCTTCCTCACAATCCTTAGCAGGAACCAACCCTGCTGACACCTTGATCTTGGACTTCCAGCCTCCAGAATTCTGAGAATAAAATTCTGTTGTTCAGGCTGCTCAGTGTGGGGCACTGTGTTACATACAGCAGTCCTAGGGCACTAATAGGATGAGTGGTTGCCATATAGGATAGTGCAGCGTTAGTGCATTTAATCCTCCTCACTGTGCTGTGCAGTCGGGCTGGGAAACTGAAGCTCGAAGAGCCTCCTGAGTCTCATATCCAGCAAGCAGCAATGCCAGGACCGGAGCCCTGGCACTTGTCACTATGCCATGTCCTTCTGCGGGCTGAGCTCCCCTGGTTTTAGGTCACCCTCATGTCCCCCTCTATTCAATACAGGGCAGACATCCTCCCCTGAGCCTGCAGCACAAAGATGCTTCCTTCAAACCTCAGCTGTTGCCGGGCATGGAGAACTTTAGTTCTAACCATCTGGGCGCCAGTGCTTTGGGGGGCAGATAACGCCTCTCTTACGTGGTGTGCCCTTCTCTTTCAGCCTTCCGAAATGTGGCTCATGCCCACAGTCCCTCCTGACCCGTGAGCTGAGAAGCTGGACTGTGATGATGGTGCTCTCATGGTATGCAACCTGCATCCCACATCTTAATGCCCATGCACTGTGATGCCTCTCACTCCCACCTTCCAAGTGTTCCTAAAATTTCTGGCATTGTTCATTTGCCACAGGTCCCATGCTGACAGCCCTCATTAAAGCCGGTGGCCTGCCAACTGAAGAGAACTCCCTGGGGTGAATGACATGCATTGTGGGAAGTGAAATGGGCCTTTGCCCTACATCAAAGCTGTATCAGCCGCTCCCTGAGTCTGTCTTGACCAGACAGATCCCACTGGATGCTGCTCCAACTGTGTTGGACTTGGCTTGAGTGACTCTGGAGAGAGGGCTGGGAGGAAGCTGCCTGACACAGGTGCCCGGGGCAGGGCGGCAGCCTCTCACCTGGGCCTGACTGGGAGGTGGAAATGAGGCTCTGGGGCCTAATCAGAAGGAGTTTTCTTAGCTCCCCTCACCAACCCAGGGTGACCTCAGGGAAAGAAGAGGCCTGGTGTGGCCATGCCCTCCCTACTTCCCCAAGGAAGGGAGATGGCCGCTAGGGCCTGGAAGAGAGAGGGATGGGGAAGGGGAACCTAGCCAGCTGCCCTAAAGTCCTGGGACCAGGGGAAAAGGTGGATTAGGGTTCAGGGGCCCTAGGGCCACACTTGGACTTCTTTCTTTCCCTACAAAAGCAGGAGTAGGGGGGTGCAGTGGCTCATGCCTATAATCCCAGCACTTTAGGAGGCCAAAGCAGGAGGCTTGCTTAAGGCCAGAAGTTTGAGACTAGCCTGGGCAACATAGTGAGACTGCGTCTCCTCAAAAAGAAGAAAAAAAAAATTAGCCAATAGAGTAGAAAGCACCTATAGTCCCAACTACTTGGAGGTCTGAGGTGAGAGGCTCACTTGAGCCCAGGAGTTCGAGGCTGCAGCGAGCTATGATTGTGCCGCTGAACTCCAGCCTGGGCAACAGAACAAGACCCTGTCTCAAAAAAAAAAAGGCCAGATGCAGTGGCTCACTTCCGTAATCCCAGCACGTTGGAATGCTGAGGTAGGTGGATCACCTGAGGTCAGGATTTTGAGACCAGCCTGGCCAACATGGCGAAACCCCATCTCTATTAAAAATACAAAAAATTAGCCAGGCATGGTGGTGGGTGCCTGTAATCCCAGCTACTTGGGAGGCTGAGGCAGGAGAATCACTTGAACCCGGGAGGCGGAGGTTGCAGTGAGCTGAGACCGAGCCATTGCACTCCAGCCTGGGCAACAAGAACAAAACTCCATCTCAAAAAAGAAAAGAAAAAGCCAGGAGGTCCCTGGCCTTTCCCAAGCCACAGTACACCAGGTCAGGAGTATATGGGGCCATTTAATCTCTCCTTGCTGCTGCCTCCTACCACAAGGCCTTTGGACATGCTGTTCCCTCTGACTTGAACACTCCTCCCTCATCTCCCTGCACACCGCCTAGTTAGTGGCACCTCACATCCTCAGACCTCCTGGTTAAATGGTCAAACAGACCCTACTCCTCTTTTTCAGAGTATGATCTTCATTAGGCATTGTTTGTGGTGACTGTTTGACTCACCCCGTTAACTCTCACCACATTTGCCATGCTCATCGTGGTACCCATGATCCTACTTTACAGATGCAGAGACTGAGCTTCTGGGGCTGGTAACAGCCTGAGCCAGGATTTGAACCCTTATCCATTTGCATCCAAGGCCTCTTGTCCTTAATCACCACACTATCCTGGCTCCCTGAAGATAATGTGTTCCGGAAGAGGTCTAAGCAACAGCACTGCACTGGGGGCTCCTGGAATGTCTCCCAAAGGAGATGGCATTTAGGATGGGCCTCTAAGGTAGAAAGGGGAGGAGGACATTCTGGGTAGAGGTGACCACCCAAAGAAACTCACAGAGGTAAGAGAGAGGAGAAACGTCACGAAGGCAGCAAGCTTGAAAACATTGAGGGGAGGTCACCAAGGAACTTCAGGCCATGCTGCGGGCTTTGGGCCATCCCTTCTCAGTGGTGGGGAGCCATGGAAGGTTTCAAAGGAAGAGACCAATGTGATTCCACCTGTGCCTGGAAGATAACCATGGGCCCGATCTGAAGAATGACCTGGGAATAGCGGACATTCAGAGCAGGGAAACTGGTCTGAAGCCTGTTGCAAAGATTCATGGTGGGTGTGAGGAGGAGCAAGCAGTGGGCGGGGAGAGGTCAGCGCCTCACCTTTGCTCCACACCAGATCTCTATCAGCAAGCTCGCTCAGGGAGTATCAAGGGCTGGGTATTGTTTGGTACCTGGTCTGTGGACATTATGTTCTACCTGTAAATTACAAATACATTACAGCTGATTGTTTTGAGCACTTCAGATAACTTGGATGCAGGGCAGGCAAGTCCTAAAGTGGGGCTTAGCCTTTGAGGGTTCTTGACTTTGCACAGGAAAGAATTCAAGGGCAAGCTGGAGGTAGAAGAAAACAGCTTTATCGAAGAGGCAGTGTTGTAGGTCTGTGACTGCCCCTGCAGAGTGGGGCTACCCCATAGGCAGGGAGTAGCAGCCCAGGACAGTTTTGCAGTCACATTTATACCCACTTTTAATAACATGCGGACCAAGGGGTAGTTTATGCAGAAATTTCTAGGGAAGGGGTAGTAACTTTTGGGTCATGGGGTCATTGCCATGGAAAGGGGCGGTAACTCCCAAGTGTTGTTATGGCAATGGTAAACTGATATGGCACACTGATGGTCATGTCTGATGGAACGCTGCTTCCACTCCAGCCCTGTTTTAGCTTGTCCTCAATTTGGTCCAGTGTCCAAGCCCTGCCCCTGGAGTCGAGTCCCGTCTCCTACCTCACTTTAAACAGCAAATGCAGAGATCCAATGGCCCCCAGATTAGTACTATACTTATATTTAAACCTGTTCCTAAACATCCCACCTGAAATTAATCTGTGGATTGACTCTTTCTGTTCTACTTTTATACCTTCCTACAGTGTAGTCACATGGTTACAGTGTAGGGTTACAGCTGCACACTTTGACATCTTCCTTGAGTTTCAAAATTAGCATTTTACTATTTTGTTGGAATTGTTATCTGAATAGGCCCAACTGAAACAAAATTGGCATTAGACATTTCTTGGTGTTACAACTCCAAGTTATTAACCAATTAACTCTACATTGCAGGGGGCATGGAACCTGGGACTTCTCCCAAGGGGATTAAAACCTGAGCTGATGGTTATCAGGCTGAATTTACTAGGTATGGTTAAACTTTGTTACCTCAATCAGACTTGTCAAGTTCACACCTTTTATGCAGGGTGGGTTGATTTGTTTACAGCCTGATATGCCCCTTCTCTCCTCCGACATGGCTGTTTATGCCATCCAGTTGTTAGGAGTCATCGGTGTGATTGGCTTCTTTAGTATTTTGCCTCAGCTGGGTGCAGTGGCTCATGCCTGTAATCCTAGCACTTTGGGAAGCAGAGGCAGGCGGATCACTTGAGGTCAGGAGTTCAAAACCAGCCTGGCCAACATGGTGAAACCTCGCCTCTACTAAAAATACAAAAAAAATTAGCCAGGTGTGGTGGCGGGCACCTGTAATCCCAGCTACTCAGGAGGCTGAGGCAGGAGAATCACTTGAACCCAGGAGGCAGAGGTTGCAGTGAGCCAAGATCATGCCACTGCACTCCAGCCTGGGTGACAGAGTAAGACTCTGTTTCTCTCTCTCTCTCTCTTTCGCTCTCTCTCTCCATATATATATATATCTCCTCATTGGTTGGACTATTTGGAGGAATCATCTCGTAAGAGATGAAGGATCAGTTTGGCTCAGGTGGCTCTCTCTTTAGAAGATTTGATGATGTCATAATGTTTTTGAGTTTTTCTTACCCAGGCTGGAGTACAATGGTGCAATAACAGCTCACTGCAGCCTGAAACTCCCGGGCTCAAGTGATCCTCCCACCTCAGCCTCCTGAGTAGCCAGGACTACCAGCATGCACCACCATGCCTGGCTAATTGTCTTTCATTTTCTGTAGAGTTGGTGGGGGGAGGGGGAGTCTTGCTATGTTGCTCAGGTTGATCTCAACCTCCTGGCTTCAAACAATCCCCCCTTCTCAGCCTCCCAAAGTGCTAGGATTACAGGCATGAGCCACCATGCCTGGCCGATATCATCAGGTTATACAGAGTTTTCCACAATGATACATACATCCTATATATCCACACTGTCCAATTTGCTAGTGTCAAAGATAAACAAAGCCAAACCCTAATTAAAGGAATGGAGACAAACTATTCAGTAGTCTCCATTATTACAATAACCATTGTAATAGGAAAGACAGCCCAACATCAACTCAACTCAACTTCACTGAAACAAAAAGCAGGAGACTTTTTTTTTTGAGGTGGAATCTCGCTCTGTCACCCAGGCTGATCCTCCCACCACAGTCTCCCAAGTAGCTAGGACTACAGGTGCACATCACCATGCCCTGCTAATTTTTATTTTTTTGTAGAGTCGGAGTATTGCTGTGTTGCCCAGGCTGTTCTTGAACTCCTGGCCTCAAGGGATCCTCCCACCTAGGCCTCCCAATGTGCCGGGATGAGAGGCGTGAGCCACCATGCTTGGCCTCTCAGATCCTTTTAGAGACAGTTTTGGGTGGTGGAAAGTTTGCATCTGAAAGGGGCAGAGAAAGGATTTATAATTGCAAACCTTCACAAGTGGGCATTTTAAGGGGGAGACTGGGGCCATCCTACCACCTTTTGAACATGTCCTCAGGAGTGGAATTTTTACTGGGTCTGTTTAACTTCTGAGGAACCTCTAAACTCTTTTCTTGAAAGCAGAAGCATGGCCGGGTGCAGAGGCTCATGCCTATAATCCCAGCACTTTGGGAGGCAGAAGTGGGTGGATCACTTGAGGTCAGGAGTTCAAGACCAGCCTGGCCAATATGGTGAAAACTCATCTCTACTAAAAATACAAAAATTAGCTAGGTGTGATGGCGCATGCCTATAATCCCAGCTACTCAGGAGGCTGAGGCAGGAGAATTGCTTAAACCCAGGAGGTGGAGATTGCAGTGAGCCAAGATCACGCTACTGCACTCCAGCCTGGGCAACAGAGTGAGACTCCGTCTCAAAAAAAAAAAAAAAAAAAAAAAAAAAAGAAAGAAAAAGAAAAAGAATCTAGCACCCTGGAGTTCCTGTGTCTTCCCATCCCTGGTCACCCTGTTGGGACAATATCAGCACACAGACCCCAAGGGGCTCAGCCTGCTTCTTTTTTTTTTTTTTTTTTTTTTTTTGAGACAGAGTCTCGCTCTGCCCAGGCTGGAGTGCAGCGACGTGATCTTGGCTCACTGCAACCTCCACCTCCCACATTCAAGCAATTCTCCTGCCTCAGCCTCCCAAGTAGCTGGGATTATAGGTGCACGCCACCACACCTGGCTAATTTTTTGTATTTTTTAGTAGATAATTGGTTTCATCATGTTGGCCAGGCTGATCTCGAACTGCTGACCTCAGGTGATCCACCCGCCTCAGCCTCCCAAAGTGCTGGGATTACAGGCATAAGCCACCACACCCAGCCTGCCTGCTCCTTTTGACAGGACACACTCAGTGACAAGGTACAGAAAGACTGGAAGGAAGGGGCCCTCAGGGGGCAAGATTAATTTCAGGAGCAGGGTGGGGGGAGGCAGGATGAAGAGCTGGATGGAAAACACCTGATGAGGCAGGAGCTGCAGCGTGATCCTCCCAGCGATGGGAGAGCCACACCAGTCTCCCCCTACCCTTGGAAAGGGGACTAGGAGTTCCCTGAAGCCTGAACTGTTGGAGGCTCAGCCACAAAGTCCTGCTGTGGTGGTTAGGCTGGCCCAGGAAATTGCTGCCTGCTGAGCACCAGCCATAGGACATGAGGGTCCGGCTCCCAGTGGCTGTCCTTGGCAGCCAGCCTGAGGCCAAGGCTTAAGGGGCTGTGGGTCAGACAGGAGGCCCTGGGAGGTGTGGTACAGAAGACGAATCCCTTAGCAGAGTGTCCCGCAATTCATCAGAGCCTCATGCTCAGCTGAGCCAGAGGACTTTGACATTACTCATTCATTCATTCACTCATTCATTAAATCATTCGTTATGCAATAGCTACTCCATGCTGTGCACCAGCCCAGAGCTGGAGGTTGTTAGTGGAGAACTCTAGATGGTAAATGTCAGGAGGCCCTCTGTGAACCACCGAGGCTTCAGCTACCAAGAGGCTTTTCAGGCCAGCAGCCCACCTAGCTCCTAATCCAGGGCCCATCTGTTCTTCCAGAGCAGAGACCCAGGCCTCCCCCTCCCTTTGGTGGGGGCCACCACCAAGCTGGAGTATGCACAAGGGGCTGCCTTCCCGGCTGCTAGAGTTATCATCACCATGGCCAAGGTCGTGCCCAGCCATGGAATGTGTATACTGAGAGCTGAAGATGGTTTACCCAATGCCCAGGGCCCACATGGGCGGCTGCCATCTGTGTCACCTCTCCACAGTGCTTATTGAACTTTGATGGATACTAAACCATTGATTTAGTATTACACCAGTGATTCTCCCATGTGCACACACCATTCAAAGGGAATAGTCTGGCTGGGTGTGGACTACTTTGGGAGACTGAGGCAGGAGGATCACTTGAGGCCAGGAGTTAGAAACCAGCCTGGGCAACCGAGTGAGACCCTGTCTCTAAAAAAAATTAAAAAATTAACTGGGCATGGTGGTGTGCACCTGTAGTCCCAGCTACATGGCAGGCTGAGGTGGGAAGATCACTCGAGCCCAGGGGTTCAAGGCTGCAGTGAGCTATGATCATGCTACTAAACTCCAGCCTGGGTGACAGAACGAGGCCCTGTCTCTAAAAAATAAAAATAAAAAAAGGAAGAGTCCATGGAAAGTCATATAAGTTCACAAGCTAACAGCAGTGGAAGCCAATAGGTATGGAACCAGTGGCTACACAAAGGTCACAGAGAACAGACACATGCCCTGAATCTGGACAAGAGGTCTCTGCAGGGTGAGATGAGGAGCCAGCCTTACATGGCCTGGAAAGAGCAGGCAGGCACCCTTGGAACTATCAGGTGAATTAAGAGAAGTCCAGAAACAGGGCAGGTGGGACGGTTGAATTCTGGGGCAGGCATAAGGGAGTCTCTGAGGTCGACATGCAAGAGACCAGGGGCAGGGCTGGCCCACACTGCAGGTGGAGCTGGCAGCCAGATGGGAGGAGATGCAGGGAGGGCATTAGGCCCAGAGTGCACCTGGAGATCAGAACTGGGGGCACCTAACAGGGGCCTGTAGGGCAGCCAGGACAAGCACAGGAAGATGGGACCAAGATGCATGGAGAAAGCTTGTGGGACAGTGCAGCGTGGCTCCCTGGTGGGCTCCAACACTAGTTATCAGCTCCCAATAGCAGCTGCCTTCCCCTGGAGGCTTGCTGGTGCCTGCGGAATCTCCTTTATCCTATAGCAACCACTCTATGAGGCAGACGCTATCTCACCCATTTGCCAATGAGGAGATGGAGGCTCAGAGAGGTCTGATCACTGGCCAAAGCCAGGCAGTGAGTGCTAGAAACAGCACTTGAACTCGAGCCTGTCTCATCTCACACACCATGCCTGCCTTTTCTTTTTCTTTCTCTTTCTTTTTCTTTCTTTTCTTTCTTTCTTCCTTTCCTCCCTTCCTTCTTTCTTTCCTTCTTTCTCTTTTCTTTCCTTTTTCTTTCTTTCCTTCCTTCTTTTTCTTTTCCTTTCTTTCTCTCTTTCTTTCTCTCTCTCTCTCCCTCCCTCTCCTCCTCCTCCTTCTTTTTCTTCCTCTTCTCCTCCTCCTCCTTCTTCTTCCTTTTCTTTCCCTTCCTTCTTTCCTTTCCTTCCTTCTTCCTTTCTCCCCTTCTTCCCCTTCCCCTTTCCTTTCCTTTTTCTTTCTTTTTACAGAGACAGAGAACTCCTGGGCTCAAGTGATCCTCCCACCTCAACCTCCCAGAGAGCTGAAATTACAGGTGTGAGCCACTATGCCCAGCCGACCATGCCTTTTTCATGTTCATGAAAAGATGCTCAGCACTACTAGTCATTGAAGCAATGTAAATTAAAACCACATTGGCCGGGCATGGTGGCTCATGCCTGTAATCCCAGCACTTTGGGAGGCTGAGGTGGGTGGATCCCCTGAGGTCAGGAGTTCAAGCTCAGCCTGGCCAACATGGTGAAACCCTGTCTCTATTAAAAATACAAAAATTAGCCGGTGTGGTGGTGTGCACCTGTAATCCCAGCTACTTGGGAGGCTGAGGCAGGAGAATTGTTTGAACCCGGGAGGTGGAGGTTACAGTGAGCCAAGATCATGCCATTGCACTCTAGCCTGGGCAACAAGAGTGAAACTCCATCTCAAAAAAATAAAATAAAATAAATAAATAAATAAATAAAAACCACATTAACCACAGGCCTATTCGAATAGTTAATATCAGGATAACTAACAGCACCAGGCAAGGATGGGAAGCAACTGGGATGCTTACATGCTGCTTTTGGGAAAATGGTGCAACTTCTGTGCAAAACACGTTGTCCGTTTCCCGTGACATTAAATGTACCCTTCCCATAGGTCCCAGCAGGAATTCTCCTCCTGGGTATTGATACCCTGGAGAAGTGAAAATTTAGGATCACAAAAAACCTGTACACGAATGCTTACAACAGCTTTATTCATAATCGCCCCCAAACTGGAAGCGACTCAACCAGCCTTTAACAGGGGAAGGGATAAACACAGTGTGGTCCATCCATACAGTGGTATATTACTCAGCAACGAAAAGCAACTAAATATTAACACATGCAACAAAGTGAATGAATCTCAGAGGCATTATGCTGACTAAAGAAAGCCAGAATCAAAAGGCTAAATATTGCACGATTCCATTTATATGACACTCTGGAAAAAATCAAAAGTGTAGGGATGAAGAACAGATCAGTGGCTGTCAGGGGAGGGGCTGAGGGAGAGCAAGGGCTGCTGAATGCCCGTGTTTCCATTTTTGGACAGGATTCCTGTAAAGTAGGCAATTAGGGAAGAACTTTGGCTGTCATTTGGGGCTGCCACATTGAGAACAAGCTGGGACAACATGTGAGTGACAGGATCCTGGGCAGAATCTCAGCTGACAGCATAGCCAGACCCAAAGAGGCCTGATCGCAGGACAGCACTCTAGTAGGACTGTGGGCTGACACCGACCTAGTGTCCCACTGTGAGGCTCAGTCTGAATTTTTTTTTTTTAAGACAGGGTCTTGCTCTGTTTCCCAGGCTGGAGTGCAGTGGTGCAATCTCAACTCACTGCAACCTCCGCCTCCTGGGTTCCACAGATTCTCCCACCTCAGCCTCCCAAGTAGCTGGGACTGCAGGCACTCGCCGCCACCACACCCAACTAATTTGTGTATGTTTCGTAGAGACGGGGTTTCGCCATGTTGTCCAGGCTGGTCTCAAACTCCTGGCCTCGAGCAATCCACATGCCTCAGCCTCCCAAAGTGCTGGGATTACAGGTGTGAGCCACTGCACCTGGCCAGTTTGAAATCTTAATCAGGAGATTGGATGAAGATCCAGAGCTCAAGCAGATTCTCAGATGCTATAACAGTGGGAGGGAACGTGTATGTGGAAGACAGAATAGAGAGTTTAAAATTCTTTCTAGATGGGAAACTGTGAGGTTGGATTTCCATTCAGAGCAGCATTGCACAACTGCTTGTTAGGGAACTATTTGAACCATGTCTTTTATTTTCTGCATGCTTTAACATCTGAGGTTTTGCTAATCCTGGAGGGCCTGCCTCTCCTAGAGATACAGCAACTTGCCCACAAATGCACTTTTCGAATGCAAACCAACTGATATAAACCATATTCCAACTACCTCCTTTATCAGATTCTCACACTCCAGGCCACTATCCACCTGCTGTAATCACCCCAGGGCAAGATACCAGACAGCTAGTGACAGCCCTTATTCCACGGAGCCTGCTGAAATTATTCAAACTAGCAAATCTCAAGCCTGCTTACCCTGCCTCACCAGTTCCTTCCTGCAGAAACCATCATAAAAGTAAAGTTGCTTTGTCCAGAGTTTTTCTGTCTCATGTGCGTCATGTTCGGCCCTGATGCCTCCCTGGGGACCCCTCCTCTTCCCCCTATGGCACAGCGGCCCCTCCTCTTGGGAACTGTGAGTAATAAACTATCTTTTCAATGGTAATTATTTCCTGATCTGTCAGCTATACTATATTTCAAATTTCCTATTAATACTATTTTATTTTATTTTTTTGAGACAGAGTCTCACTCTGTCACCCAGACTGGAGTGCAGTGGCATGATTTCGGCTCACTGCAACCTCTGCCTACCAAGTTCAGGCGACTCTCCTGCCTCAGCCTCCCAAGTAGCTGGAATTACAAGCAGGCACCATCACACCTGGCTAATTTTTGTATTTTTAGTTGAGATGAGGGTTTCACCATGTTGGCCAGGCTGGTCTCGAACTCCTGACCTCAAATGATCTGCCCGCCTTGGCTTCCCAAAGTGCTGGGATTACAGGTATGAGCCACCATGCCTGGCCTAATACTATATTTTAGAAGAGTAACTTATTTCTTGGTATTGGTTGATAGAAAAAAGCCTGGGGTTTTTGCTGAGCTTGAGGTCACAGCAGGTCATAGTGGGGATGGAGTGTCTGTGTTGCTTTGCTGTGACCATCGGGCCACCACTAGGACACTGTCCCAGCCGTTCCTGAGGAGTGGGCCAGCTGTGATGCATAGGCTGTGACCTGCTGTTGTAGAATCCCTGTTCCTGAGAGGTTGAACAGGGTCTGGCCAGGGAAGGCTGTGAACTCATTGTGGATTCAGAGATCAAAGAGGAGGGTGTGGGGACCATGAGGTTCACCTAGAATTTCTCCATCTTCTCCATGAAGGTTTGGTCTGGGAGCAGTACCTCCACGGTGTAGCTGATGCGTTTAGAATGAACCAGGCTGTAGGTGTTGTAAAACCTCAGGACATCTGCAGTGAGGGACAGACATTCAGACAAGATGCCCCACCTGGGACTCTGACTTCCATGGTGGTAAATCTCTGCGTGGGTACCCAGACCAGGGAACCATTGCCACAATTGAGAGCCCAGAGCCAGCCTCACACTGTGCCCACCAGAACCAAGGGCCCTCACCTGGTAGGACCTGGATGCACATTGTAGCACCCTCCCCCTAGCCCCCAGCTCCAGGTAGAGCCATCCCTGCCAACTCTTACAGCTGCCGGCCTGGAGGCAGGTGAGAATCCCATCTTCAGGCACCATGTGGGCATTGTAGCGCTGGCTGGGCAGCACCTCTGTCATCTCCCTAGCCCTCTGCCGCTCCCCCATCTTGGTCTTCAGGAAAACCCCAAAGCCAATGTCCCCACCATCTGAAGCAAACTGCCACCTGCAGTGGATAGAGCCCCATTGGCGACCCCCTGCCTGGGCTCCAGGCCCCTCCCAGATGTGCCCAGGTGTAGAGTGGCTGCCATCCCTACCTGAGCACACAGCCCGGGAACAGGATCTCGTTCTCCACCTGCAGGGAGGAGCCGCGGCCCACGGACCTCGTGTGCTCATACTGCAGCCTCACCTGCTTGCACAGGTAGTAGCTCTTGGGCACCTCACCCCCGTAGTTGATCTGTGGGTGAAGGGGGTGTGTGGGCACTAGGTCACAGCTTCTCCCCTCCTTCCCCATCCTCTGGGCACCCTGTACCTTGGTCAGGCACTTGGGGTTGCCATCGGGGTCAGTCATGGTCCCCCCAAACTCCACGGGCAGCTGGTCGGGGCTGATGAATTTTGTCAGCTCCTGCTTCCAGTTGTCTGCATGGGAGCAAGAGAGGGACTCCAAAGGGACTCAGGAGACTCAACAGAGGGCAGAGGGGGCTGAGCCCAGGTCTGTCCTTTGGCCAGCTGCTCTCCCTCCCTGGCGCGCTTTTGCCACTCCATTGCCTAGAGCAGTCCTGTCCCAGAAGAGGGAAGCCAAGTGGCCCTAGGTCTTGTCCTGGGGCTCAGCATGTGCTGTGTTGACTAGGTCCTGTCCCAGGCCTGCCCCTCTCTTACTGCCCCTGCAGGCCCTGCCCCCACATCTGTCCAGGTATTGGCCCATTGGCCACGTTCATAGGAACTCGGACCAGCAACTCCTGGAGCCTGGGGTTGAGGTCAGGCAGGCTATGACCCGGTCTTCGCTTTCCCTTAGAGACTGAACTCAGCCTTCTGGTCAGATACTGCCCTCAGCTCCCAGGGCTCCAGCACCCTCAGAATTGCAGGGCCAAGCTCGGGTCAGTTCCCCACAAGCTGCTCTGAGATGGCCAAGGATGTTCCACAAAGGGACACGGGCATTGCAGGAACAAAGTAGACGAAAGCAGAGGTGGACACCCAGTACCCTCGGAGAGAGAAGGACTGTATAAGCATGAAAGCGGTGGAAAAATCAAAGGAAAAGCCCCCTAATTTGGCATAAAAACAAAACACTAGGCTGGGCCTGGTGGTGCACTCCTGTGGTCCCAGCTACTTGGAAGGCTGAGAAGGGAGAATTGCTTGAGCCCGGGAGGCAGAGGCTGCAGTGAGCCGAGACCACACCCTGTACTCCAGCCTGGGCAACAGAGTGAAACCCCATCTCATAAATAAATAAATAACACTAAGTCAAAAATTAGATAATAGGCAAACTATGAACTGGCCAAAATGCCACAAATATGACAGGAAAGGGCCAGACATGGTGGCTCACGCCTGTAATTCCAGCACTTCAGGAGGCCCAGGCAGGAGGACTGCTTGAGGCTAAGAGTTTGAGACTAGTCTGGGTAACATAGTAAAGACATGACTCTACAAAAAATAACAATAAATGTGCCACGTGTGGTAGTGTGCATCTATAGTGCCAGCTACTCAGGAGGCTGAGGCAGGAGGATCGCTAGAGCCCAGGAGGTTGAGGCTAGAGTGAGCTATGATCATGCCACTGCGCTGCAGCCTGGGAAACACAGAGAGACCTTATCTCTGAAATAAATATATATATTTCATATATATAAGTATATATCTCAAATATATACATATATATACACACACATATCTATATATATGGACTTACGTGATCCTCCCATGTTGTCAGCCTCCATAGCAGGAAAGGACAAGGTGTTTAATATGCAAAGAGTATTTATAAATTAATGGCATAAAAAATACTTTCCTAGAAAATGGTCATGAGACACAAGAAGGCAATAAACAACAAATTAAAATAGTCAATTATAAAGAAAATGTCCAACCTCACGAGTAATAAAAGAACCAAATAACCCAATGTAAAATAATAATAAACATCATTTTCCATTATAAAAAAGGCAAGAATATTTTTAATTATTGATGTCCAACCTTGGCAAGAGTGTGGGAAAATGGGCACATTCACACACAGTTGGTGGAGTTAAACTCTGCAATCTGTGTGAGCGCTACACTGAAAAAGTTATCAAAAGTCCTAACATGTAACCAGGTGTGGTCATGCCTGTAGTCACAGCTACTTGGGAGGCTGAAGTGAGAGGACTGCTTGAGCCCTGGAGGTCGAGGCTGCAGTGAGCCAAGATCATGTCACTGTACTCCAGCCTGGGTGGCAGAGTGAGACCTTGTCTCAAAAAAAAAAAAAAAAAAAAAAAAAAGTCCT